>NC_000005.10:113746170-114049200 GCF_000001405.40 Homo sapiens | reverse complement strand
ACACCATTCACTTTCTCACATCCAAAAATGCTGAACTTCTTTTAGCTTTTCCAAAAAAAGTACTGGATTTTTTTTTTTTTTTTTTTTTTTTGCTTTTTTGTCTTTTTGCCTCTGAACATTTCTCCAAAATTTTCTTCCCATTTGAAATACTTTCTTCTTGTCCTTTGCAACAGCTTGGCCTTGAAAAATACCTCAAATCTTAGTTTCAGTTGCTTCCTCCAGAAAGCCTTCCCTGATTCCTTCAAAGTAGAGTAACGATGGACCATAGATTCTATGTCACCATCGTGCTCTCCTGTTTAATATAATTTTCCACTATAATGCATATTTCTGTAATATAAATAAGTACATGTTTGGTAAATAGGAGATAGTAATGTACCATATAGATCACATTTGTTCATATATAGTTTTTTTCTGTCCAACACATTAACCTTTTACACAAATAATAACAGCTAACAACAAAGTACAGGTATTTTGAAAATAAAAATACAGCAGAATACAGCAAGCCACAGAGGAATATGTCTCTGCACAGAAGCCATTCAACCGCATTATTATTGGGTTGAGTTTAGCCAAGTGTTGTCTATTGGAAGGGCTTTTTGCATGATTCTCCCCAAACTTGCTCTTGTGTGCATTTTGTCTTGTCTCTCTCGGAAGGGCTTTCTGCATGACTCTCTAGTGCATTTTGCTCCTGTCTCTCAAACTCAGTAGCTTCAACCCTTTTCCCTTATACCAACTCAGTTGAGCCATGTTTACCTTTTTAGTTTTCAAGATAACGCTTATATTTATAATTTGTTCATGCCTTTTAACTGTGCAAGAATTTATGTTAGGGTTGTTATTACTCTTGTTGGCACTCTGGTTACAGCGTTGCTACAGGTTTTGAGTGATTAGGAGGAAGTAATTAATTTTAATGTCTAACCTTGTGCTCTTAAGGAAAATAATATCGAAGTGCACAAATATCCAGATCTCCTCTAATCTGGAGTACAAATTCTTCTCTTCATACTTTTCTAACTCCTTGCCAGTGTGAAGCTTTCCAACCCTTCCTCACCTTGAAGCTATGTCTGGGGCCTCTATCACCCTGAGTCCCTGAGTGACAATGATGAGAAAAGCCCTACTGTGGATTCATTTTGGACATGTAATGTGGGACACATATATTTTCTACTTTAAGACCCTGAGATTGTTCGCAGACTAACCTGATTAATACAGAATTTGGTATGAGCTGTAGGATGATGCCATGATATAATCTTAAAATATGTGGCATTGGCCTACGTGGTTGTTCTGTGGATGAGGAGGAAACCGATCATGGAAGCTATGAACGTAATGTCCGTGTTACCTAATGGCAAAATGTGGTAACACTGTTGTCTGTAGAAACCGCTGGAGGGGAAATTACATCCCAATAAACAAGTAGCAATGTTAGCAGCAGGTATACTTATATGTTTGGCTGTATTTCACAAGGTACAATATAAAAGAGTTGAGCTCACAAAAGCATTGGCTGGCTGGCAAGTAAAAGTAAAGAGAGCCCAAAATATTCAGGGTTTTGCAGAGTTAAAAGCCAACTTTTTCCTGACCTGGAAGAATAAAAGACAAACTTGAGTATGCCTTTAAGAGACAAATGACCATATTTTTATAAATCAACTTTATTAAGTTGTAATTTAAAAAAATAACATTTGATTTTTTTTTTTTTTTTTTTTTTTTGACACGGAGTCTCATTCTGTCTCCCAGGTTGGAGTGCAGTGGCGCGATCTCGGCACTGCAAGCTCTGCCTCCCAGGTTCACGCCATTCTCCTGCCTCAGCCTCCCTAGTAGCTGGGACTGCAGGCGCCCCCCACCACGTCTGGCTAATTTTGTTGTATTTTTAGTAGAGACGGGGTTTCACTGTGTTAGCCAGGATGGTCTTGGTCTCCTGGCCTCGTGATCCGCCCGTCTCGGCCTCCCAAAGTGCTGGGATTACAGGCGTGAGCCACCGTGCCCAGCCCTTTTTTTTTTTTTCTTTTTTTTTTTTTTAAGACAGTGTCTCATTGTGTCACCAGGCTGGAGTACAGTGGTATGATCGTAGCTCACTGTAACCTAAAACTTTCAGGCTTAAGCAATCAGCACTTCAGCCTCCTGAGTAGCTAGGACTACAGGCACACACCACCATGCCCAGCTAATTTTTATTTCTTTTTTTGTTTGTTTTTTTGTTTTTGAGACAGGGTCTCCCTATGTTTTCCAGGCTGTGCTCAAACTCCTGACCTCAAGCAATCCTCCCACCTCAGCCTCCCATAGTGCTGGGATTCAGCCACCAAACCCGGCCAAATTAACATATTTTAAGTATACAGTTTGATGAGTTTTGAAAACTATATACAGTCGCATAACTATGAGCCAATCAAAATATAGAACATTTTGATCAACCCAAAGGGTTTCCTTTGTTCTCCTTTCCAACCTCTCTTGACCCCTGGACTCCATTAACAATGGATCTGCTTTCTGTCACTATAGAATTAGATATGTTTACTTTAGAATTTCATATAATAAAAGCACACAGTATATACTCTTTTGTGTCTTGTTTTCTTTTGTTTTTCAAAATATAAATATACACACACGTGTATATATGTGTATATATACACACACGTGTATATATGTGTATATACATATGTGTATGTATATGTATGTATATATACACACACGTGTATATATGTGTATATACATATGTGTATGTATATGTATGTATATATACACACACGTGTATATATGTGTATATACATATGTGTATGTATATGTATGTATATATACACACACGTGTATATATGTGTATATACATATGTGTATGTATATGTATGTATATATACACATATGTGTGTATGTGTATATACACACACACATATGTGTGTATGTATATATATATCTATATATACACACATATGTGTGTGTATGTGTATATATATATCTATATATACACATATATATACATATATATATATATACACACATATATAGATATATATATATATATTTTTTTTTTTTTTTTTGAGAAGGAGTTTCGCTCTTGTTGCCCAGGCTGGAGTGCAGTGGCGCAATCTCGGCTCACTGCAACCTCCATCTCCCGGATTTAAGTGATTCTCCTGCCTCAGCCTCCCAAGTAGCTGGGATTACAGGCATGTGCCACCACATCCGGCTAATTTTTTTTTTTTTTCCTGTATTTTTAGTAGAGACGGGGTTTCTTCATGTTGGTCAGGCTGATCTTGAACTCCCGACCTCAGGTGATCCGCCTGCCTCAGCCTCCCAAAGTGCTGGGATTACAGGCCTGAGCTACCATGCCCAGCTTATGAAAATATTTTAAAAACTTATTCATATTGTTACGTGTATCACGAAACCCTCTTGTCTTTTGCTAATTGGTAGTATTCTATATTATTGACATACTACGATTTGTTTTCCCATTCACACATTGATGAAAATTTGGATTGTGCCTAGTTTTTTTGCTATTAGGAATAAAACTGTTATGAATAATCACATACAAGTCTCTGTGTAGACATACGTTTTTGTTTCCCTTGTATAAATATCTAGATGTAGAATTGCTCGGCCATGTAATATGTATATGTTTATCTTAATAAGAAAATGCCAGATAGTTTTCCAATGTTATTGCACATTTTACCTTTCCGCCAGTAATACATGAGTGTATCAGTTGCTCCACATACTCACCCATATTTGGTGCTGTCAGACTTCTAATTTCTGCTATTCAAGTTAGCATGTAGTGGTAGCTCATGAATTTAATTTACATTTCTTTGATGACTAAAGATGTTGAGTATTGTTTCATGTGCTTATTGGCATGAAACAACATTTCTACGTCTTCTTTTGTGAAGTGTCTTTTCAAATTTTTGACTCATATTGGGCCATTTGTCTTATTATTGATTTGTAAGAGTTATTTATATATTCTACATATGGAGTGTTAAAAAAATCAAACTCATGTAAACAAAGAGTAAAACAGTGGTTATAAGAACCTGGAGGGTAGAGGGGTTTTGGAGATGTCGATCAAAAGACACAAAATTTCAGTTAGATGGGAAGAATGAATTCAAGAAACCTATTGTTAATCATGGTGACTTATAGTTAATAGGTCATATTTGAAAATTGCTAAGATAATAGATTTTAAGTGTTCTCACCACAAAAAAATAAGTACATGAGGCAATAGTTAATACTTGTTCATTACCTGTCTTCCTTCACAGAATAGAAACTTTATGAGGTTAGGGATTCCTTATCTTATTTACTGCTATGTTTCCCCAGTACCTAATGAAGTACCTTAGATAAGGTAGGCTCTCAATATTCATTTTAAAAATGAGGTGCATGACTGAGCATAATAGATAAATACCATTATGCTCTATTTCATAACCTCAGAATAATAACATGTTTCTGTTTTCATAGTCCTATACTTAAAAATTATTACTACTTTTGCAGATCAAACCCATTCATACCTCTAGAAGAAAAAACAGTTATGATGCCAGTATGTTTCATTTTAAATACTGAATCTATCCAGCAAATAGGTAATAAACATGTCATAAACACACAATTTAATTCCTCCTCTCAAAAGTTTATAGACAGTGAAATAAAACAAACAAAAATCCACCCCTTATCAAAAGAAACAACTACTCCCCCACAGCAAGTGTGAGACATACAACACAGAAGAATGACATTCTGCAAAAGTCAAATGCTAGCCCATATGAAAATTTTACTTTCTAGAAAGCAGTGATTGATTTTGAAAAGTATTAGGGTTACAATAAAATTAACACATGCTGTTCTAACACATGAAATATTATTAACTTATAATTTAATGATGGCTTTATCTAAAATGTAGTCCTTGCAAATTGATTAAAATAGAGAGAAGGAAGCTATTTACTTTATACTTAGTGAATTTGCTTTGACAAGGTTACATTTTATTAGCTTGTTGGTCAACTTGTATTTTGATAATTGAATTCAAATGTTGGAGCTATTCCTAGATCTATTATGCTGTAGTATAAGAGTAAGCCAAGCTGACTTTGAATTAACATTTTATACAATATAATAATGTACACGGAAATTTAAGAATACTTGTTATATATTTTATCTGATTTTGAGGCAAATTTTATTCTTATTTTTTAAAAACTTTTATTTTAAGTTCAGGGATACATGTGCAGGATGTGCCCGTTCGTTACATAGGTAAACGTGAGTCATGGGGGTTTGTTGTACAGATTATTTCATCGCCCAGGTACGAGGCCTAGTACCCAATAGTTATTTTTTCTGATCCTCTCCCTCCTCATACCCTCCACCCTCAAGTAGGCCCCAGTGTACACTGTTCCCCTCTTTATGTCCATGTGTTCTCATTATTTGGCTTTCTCTTATAAGTGAGGACATACGGTATTTGGTTTTCTGTTCTTGCATGAGTTTGCTAAGGATAATGGCCTCCAGTTCCTTCCATGTTCCTGCAAAGGACATAATCTCATTCTTTTATGGCTGCATAGTATGCCATCCTGCATATGTATCACATTTTCTTTATCCAGTTTACCACTGATGGGCATTTAGATTGATTCCATGTCTTTGCTATTGTGAATAGTGCTGCAATGAACATACACATGCAGGTGTCTTTACGGTAGAATTATTTATATTCCTTTGGGTATATATCCAGCAATGGGACTGCTGGATTGAATGATAGTTCTGTTTTTAGCTCTTTGAGGAATTGCCACACTGTCTTCCACAGTAGTTGAACTAATTTACACTCCCACGAACAGTATACAAGCATTCATTTTTTCTACAACCTCACCAGTATCTTTTTTTTTTCTTTCTAATAAAAGCCATCCTGACTGGTATGATATGGTATCTCATCGTGGTTTTGATTTGAATTTGATTGAATTTCTCTAATCAGTGATATTAAGCTTTTGTTCATTCCATTTTGGTGGCATGTAAGTCTTCTTTTGAAAAGTGTCTGTTCATGTCCTTTGCCCACTTTATAATGGGGTTGTTTTTTTTCTTGTAAATCTGTTTAAGTTCCTTATAGATACTGGATATTAGACCTTTGTCAGAGGCATAATTTGCAAATATTTTCTCCCATTCTGGAGGTTGTCTATTCACTCTGTTGATAGTTTCTTTTGCTGTGCAGAAGCTCTTAGGTTTAATTAGATCCCATTTGTCAATTTTTGCTTTGTTGTGATTGCTTTTGGTGTCTTCGTCATGAATCGTTGCCAGTTCCTATGTCCAGAATGGTATTGCCTAGGTTGTCATCTAGGGTTGTAGTTGTTTTCTGTTTTACATTTGTTTTTAATCTATCTTGAGTTGATTTTTTATATGGTGTAAGGAAGGGGTCCAGTTTCAATCTTCTGCCTATGGCTAGCCAGTTATCTCAGCTCCATAAGAGAAATCCATAGGCAGGATTTCTCTGCCTATGACCTCTCCAGGCACTGTCAAATCTACCACTTTTGCACCAGGCCCCAAGTCGAGTCAAGTATGCAAGTAGAGTTTCAAGAAGAAATGCTGTCAGGATCTAGAGCAAGTTTGTTGTTTTAGCTTAAATTAGAGCAGTACAGTGAAAACATTTTAACAAATATATTAGTCATCCCCCATTATTGGAATGGTAGGCATTCCAAGATCCCCACTGGATGCTGAACCATGGATAGTATCAAACCCTATATAAACTATGTTCTTTCCTATAATACATACTACAATAAAGTTTAAATTATAAGTTAGGCACAGTAAGATATTGACAACAATAATTAATAATAAAATACAACAATTATAACAATTATATTATGATAAAAGTTATTTGAATGTGGTCTCTCTCTCTCACAATGTCTTATTGTACTATATTCATTTTTCTTCTTGTGATGATACAATGCCCACATGAGGAGATAAAGTGAGCTGAATGACTTGGGCATTGTGATGTAGAATTAGGCTACTATTGACCTTCTGACCATAGGTCAGAAGGAAGATCACCTGCTTCTGGTGACCCTGGATCATGGAGCCATGACGATGTCGATGGTTGGATGTCAGGAGCAGATGATGTTAATAAAATCAGGCAGGTAGCTTATACAGGATGAATACTGTGGACAAAAAGGATGATTCACATTCTGAGTGGGACTGAGTGTGAAGGCACTCGATCTCATCACACTACTCAGAATAATGAAAAATTGAGAACTTAGGAATTGTTTATTTATGGATTTTTTTATTTATCATTTTTAGATCTTGGTTGACTGTGGATAATTGAAACTGTGGAGGGCGGGGTGGTGGGGACTACTGTACTAATGTCTCAGCCCAACTGATGATAAACAGAGAAAATGTTCTATCCTAAGCAAGGTTTCTGAAAAGATGGCATTCCGGGTACCTGAGTCTGAAACCTTCCTTTTTTGACTCTACTGTGCATTTAGGAGAGATCTTGGATGAGACTACATTTTTCTTGCCACTGAAAAGAAGCAAAAATCAACAGCAAAGGAGAAAGTTTCCCTCACTAAAAATTTTGTGATGCAAATCATAAGTTTTAAGACTCCCTTTGGGAAAAACTGCAGACAGATGACAGTAGGTGACTATGGAGACAGCAGCATCTGCAGACAGACTTTGCTGCAAGCCTTCAGGAGAGGCAAGCCTTCTCCCCAGTTTCTCATCCCTTGTTCTGGTTCAGGGCTGATGCCCTGCACCTAATCTATACTTCAAAACAGGACACATACACACACACAGAAATAGAAAGAGAAAAATTTTCAGATGTGGGTCAATATATTTACGGTAGTTATCTTTTTTCTTTTCAGTTTTATTTGTATAGCTTCATCAAAGTATAATTGATATACAATAATCTGCACACATTTAAAGTATACAATTTGATGTGTTTTGACATGTATACACCTATGAATCTATCATCACAATCAAGATGGTGTGCATATCCAGCACTTCCAAAAATTTTCTCACATCATTTTGTAATCCCTCTCATTCTGCTATCTCCAGGCAACAACAGATCTGCTTTCTGCCATTATAGGTTAGAGTTTTCTAGAATTTTATGTAAATGGAATCACACATTATGTACTATCATTTTGCAGGGACAGGGTGTCTGGGTCACTGCACTCAGACTAATGATTTTGAAATGTATTAAAGTTATTGTGTGCATTCATAGTTTATCCTTTTTTTTACTGCTGAGTAGTATTCCACTGTATGCATATACTACAGATTGTTTATCTAGTAATTTGTTGATGGATATATGACTTTTTTACAGTTTTTGGCCATTATAATAAAGCTTCTATGAACATTCAAGTTCATGTTTTTGCATGAATATACGCTTTTAGTTTTCTTGGGTAAATACGTAGGAAGATAATAGCTAGACCATACGGTAGGTATATGTTTAATTGTTTAAGAAACTGTCAAACAGTCCTCCCGATCAATTGTACATATAACATTCTCTTCAGAAATGTACAAATGTTCCACTTGCTCCACATCCTCACAATCACTTGCTATGCTCAGTCGTTTTGATTTTAGCCACTCAAATAAGTATGTCGTGGCAAGTCACTGTGGCTTAAATTTTTATTTCCCTAATGATTAGTGACGTTGAACATGTACTGTTTTGCCATGCATATATCTTCTTCTGTGAAGTAGCTGTTCAAATCTTTTGTCTATTTTTTTGTTGAGTTGCTTATATTCTTAATATTCACTTTAAGAGTTATTTATATATTCTACATACAAGTCCTTTATCAGGTTTGTAAATATTTTTTTCTGGTCTGTGGTTTGTCTTTTTCCTCCCAACCTTTATTAAGATAAAAAAATTTTCCAGGATAGAAAATTTGAGGCTTTAGCATGCCTCAGCCACATGGAAATAGTGAAATAATGCATAATAATAAACTCTGTGAGCTTGAATTCAAGAAGGAAAAGAAGAATTCACTGGAATAGAGAAAGACACCCCAGATCCCAGACAGAAGAAGGTGAGCAAGCAGTCCCCGGGACAGCATTCAGCTGAGGAAAGTGAGTGAAGCCCCTGTATATGAGAGGGGCAGAGAGTGTTCCTCTTTGACTCACCCTTCCACTAGAGATCCATGCAACCCACTCCAACGGAGAGCACCTTGTCTCTCAAGCCCTGGAGCTAACGTGGGGAGAGGCTGGGAGATACTGAGAAGGAAAGACACCAGGAAAAGCTATGGGCATCTTCCCAGACCTAGGACTGAGAGCAGTATGCCATTTTTAATCTGGGCACACACAAAGTCTGCCATTGTTTGGCAATCCGGCAGCACAGCTGCACGGGCATTTAAACCTTGGCCCAGAGATTGGAGCGCTTGCTCTAGATCAGGGAAAGGGCCACCACAGCCAGAATTGAGTAACAAGTATGGAAAATGCCCCCGAAGTAGGTGCTGGAATTGGGCTCTCTTCCATCACAAGACTAGAGTGGGAGGAGAATTGCTGAAGCCATGGTTTCTCTTGGGTGGCAAGACTTGCAGCCAGGGACAGCTCTGCAACCTGGAACTTGTCTGCATAATCATTATCGGGTGTCCAGCCTTCTCCCCTGAGATTGTGCTACAGAGGGGTCCTCTCTACTCTATGACCAAGTAATACTCCAGGCATGCAGAGCACTCACCCTTACCTGGATTAGCAGCCTGAGCCACCCTACTCTTCCTGTCCCAAGATCTTGGTGTAGTGGTGTTGCCTCCACTCCACACCTGGGCATATTCTTAGGCATTTAGTACTTCCCTCTTTCAGGATTTGTTGCCTGAGCTGCCCCCAACTTTCCTGCAAAGACATTGTTTCACCATGGGTCACTCCACTCCTTGCTGGGGGATATACTTCCAGGCAATTGAAATACCCACTCACCTGGACTAGTAGTCTGAGCTGCCCCTCTCATCCCCTACAAAGACATTGCTGCAGTGGTTGTTCTCTCACTCCTCACCAGGGTATATTCCCAGGCATTTGGTGTACATACTCACCTGAATAGGAGCCTGAGCTGCCCCTCCCTTCTCTTGCAGAGACCTTGGTGCAGTGGCATACTCTCTGCATTATGCCTAGACTCCAGGTATTTGGAACAGCCATTCTTCTAGATTAGAAGTTTAGGCTGTCTCCATTTCTCATGAAGAAAACTTGGGACAGCAGAGGTTTGTCAACTCCATGCTGAGGCACACCTCTGGGCACTCAGTGGCCGCCCACTGGACATCCCCTCTGAGCTTGTGCTTATGCCTGCCATTGGGGGACTTGTAGGCAGGCCTGCCCAGTGTAGCCATGCCCATCTTGGCTCCCCATTCTGGGGCTGAGCAGGCAGCTCAGGGAACTCTGCATTCCACAGATCAGCCTACTGCCTGAGGCAACAGAGAGCTTCTCCTAGTAAACAAGGATCAAGTATCCACATTGCCAGTAGCCAGCTATTACCCATAAACATCACCTACTATCCTGAAGGTTGAATGACACAGCAGGACATTTGCTCCGTGAGCATACAGCACTGGGGAATGAAATAAGTTTCCTGAGACTCCACTACTCTGGCCCCACAGAAGGCAGTGAACCTGCTCACACACCCAGCACATCACTACTACATCCAGCTTTTGGAAAAGCCACCGTGCAAAGGCTAGCTATAACCAAGGAATGTAGAAAGACTCTTAGTGACTGAAAACACCCAGAACAAAAGCCAAAGGACCCTACACAACATTGTATATTATAGACACCTCCTCAATGGGGAAAAATCCCATCCAAATAAAAGCAAAATTAAAAAATAAGGAGAGATAGCTTATCTCTCCTTCCTCTGAGAAAGAACCAGAGAAACAACTCTGAAAGTATGAAAAAATAGTTATACTCCACAAATGGAAAACAAAAGCAAGCAACAGTAGCCATCTTCATATTGGATAAAACAGATTTTAAACCAACAACAGCAAAAAAAAAAAAAAAAAAAAAAACCAACCACAACAAAGATGGGCATTATACAATGATAAAGAGTTCAATGCAACAAGAAGACAAAGCTATTCTAAATATATATGTATATATGCAGTCAACATCAGAACACCCAGATTCATAAAACAAATACTACTAGATGTACGAAAACATATTACTATAAATACAATAATGGTGTGGGACTTCAACACCCCACTGACATACCTAGACAGACCATCAAGGCAGAAAATCAACAAAGAAACTCTGGACTTATCTGGACTTAGACTGGAGTATAGACTAAATGGACCTCATAGACCTTCACAAAACATTCTAACCAACAACCACAGAATGTACATTCTTCTCACCTCCACATGAAACATTAACCAAAATAAACCATATGCTTGGACATAAAGCAAATATCAATACTTCCAAAACATCAAAATCATATTGGGTATTTTCTCAGACCACAGTATAATAAAATTAGAAATCAATACCAAGAAGAACTCTTAAAGCTATACAAATACATGGAAGCTAAACAACTTGCTACTGAGCGATCTTTGGGTAAACAACAAAACTAAGGCAAAAATTAAAAAAAAAACCAAAAAAATGGAAATAGAGACATAACACACCAAAACCTCTGGGATAGAGCAAAAGTAGTGCTAAGAGGAAAGTTTATAGCATTAAATGCCACATTGGATTTCCCAATTGGAAAAGCGGAAGTTTATAGCATTAAAAAGATGCTTAAATTAACAACCTAATATCAAGCCTCAGGGAACTAGAAAAACAAGAACAATCCAAATCCAAAGCTAGCCAAAGAAAATAAATTACAAAGATTAGAGCAGAACTAAATGAAATTGAGACCAAAAAATGATACAATGTATTAATGAAACAAAAATTGTTTTTTTGAAAGGATAAGCAAAATTGACAGAATGTTAGCTCGGTTAACCAAGAAAAAATGAGAGATGATTCAAATAAGCACAATGAGAAATGAGATATCACCACCGATACCACAGAAATACAAAAGATTATCAGAGATTACTATGAATATCTCTACCCACACAAACTACAAACCCTAAAGGAACTGGATAAATTCCTGGAAACACGTAACCGCCCAAGATTGAGCCAGAAAGAAATAGAAATTGTGAACAGACCAATAACAAGTAATGAAATCAAATAAATAATAAAAAAAACTTCCAACAACAACAACAAAAAAAAACAGGATCAGACAGATTCAGAGCCAAATTTTGCCAGACATACAAAAAAGAGCTGATATCGATTTTATGGCAACTATTCAAAAAAAGTAAGTAGGAGAGAGTACTCTCTAACTCATTCTATGAAACTAGTACCACTCTGATAACAAAATCAGGCAAGGACACAACAAAAAAAGAAAACTACAGGCCAATATCCCTGATGAACATAGATACAAAATTCTCAACAAATACTAGCAAACCAAATCCAACAGCATACGATCAAGTGGGTTTTATTCCAGGGATGCAAGTATGTTTCAACATCCACAAATCAATAAACATGATTCATCACATAAACAGAACTAAAAACGAAAACCATATAATCATCTCAATAAATGCAGGAAATGCGTTTGATAAAATCCAATATTGTTTTGTAACAAAAACACTCAACAAACT
Source organism: Homo sapiens (assembly GCF_000001405.40). Taxonomy (NCBI): domain Eukaryota; kingdom Metazoa; phylum Chordata; class Mammalia; order Primates; family Hominidae; genus Homo; species Homo sapiens. Next base: position 114,036,748 of record NC_000005.10, on the reverse strand, counting down.
AGGAATCAAAAGAACATTCCTCAGAATAGAGCGATGTATGACAAACCCACATCGAACACTATAATGAAGGGGGAAAAGTTGAAAGCATTTCCCCTAAGAACTGGAACTGTCACCACTCATATTCAACATAGTACTGGAAGTACTAGCCAGAGCAATCAGGCAAGAGAAAGAAATAAAAAGCATCAAAATTAGAAAAGAGAAAGTCAAATTAATTCTGTTTGCTGATGACACAATTGCATACCTAGAAAACCCTAAAGACCTCTCTGCAAGACTTCTAAACCTGATCAATGAATTCAGTAGTCTCAGGATGCGAAATCAATGTAAAAAATTCAGTAGCGTTTCAATATGCCAATAACATTCAAGCTGAGAACCAAATCAAGAACTTAATGCCATTTACAATAGACACACACCACCAAAAATATCTAAGAATACATTTAACCCAGGAGGTGAAAGAGCTCTACAAGGAAACTACAAAACCTTAATGAAATAAATTGTGGATAGCAAAAACAAATTGAAAAACATTAAATAGTTATGGACTGGAAGAATATCATTAAAATTGCCATACTGCCCCTAAAGCAATCTACAGATGTGATACTATTCCTATCAAACTACCAGTGTCATTTCTCACAGAATTAGATAAAAACTATTCTAAAATTCACATAAAACCCAAAAAGACTCTGAACAGCCAAAGCAACACCAAGCAAAAAGAGCAAATCCAGAGGCATCATACTGCCTTACTTCAAACTATACTCTGAGGCTATAGCAACAAAAACAGCATACATAGTAGTTGTACAAAAACAGACACATAGATCAATGGAACATAACAGGGAACCCAGACACAAAGGCAGATACCTACAGCCAACTGATCTTCAACAAAGTCAACAAAAATAAATAATGGGGGACAGACTCCCTATGCAATAAATGGTGCTGGGAAAATTGGCCAGCCATATGGGGAAGAATGAAATTTGACCCCTATCTCTCATCATATACAAAAACTCGAGATGGATTAAAGACTTAATCTAACTCAAGATGGATTAAAGACTTAAAAGTAATAACTGAAACTATACAAGTCCTAGAAGAAAACCTAGGAAAAACTCTTCTGGACATTGGCCTAGGCAAAGAATTTGTGATGAAGACTCCAAAAGCAAATGCAACAAAAACAAAAACTAGACCAACAGGACTTAATTAAACTAAAAAGCTTCTGTACGGCAAAAGAGATAACCAACAGACAGACCACCTAAAGAATGAGAGAAAATATTTGCAAATTATGCCTCTGACAAAGGACTAATATACAGAATCTACAAGGAACACAACTCAACAAGAAAAAAAAACCCCATTAAAAGGTGAGCAAAGGACATGGGCAGACATTTCTCAAAAGAAGAAATACAAGCAGTCAACAAACACATGAAAAAATGCTCAACATCACTAATCATCAGATAAATGCAAATTAAAATCACAATGAGATTAAGATATCATCTTACACCAGTCAGAATGTCTATTATCAAAAAGTCAATAAACAACAGATGTTGGCATGGATGCAGAGAAAAGGGACTGCTTATACATTGTTGGTGGGAATGTAAATTTTTTTAGTCTCTATAGAAAACTGTATGGAGATTTCTTAAAGAACTCAAAATAGAACTACCATTCGACCCAGTAATCCTAATACTGGATATTTACCCAATGTAAAAGAAATCATTATATTAAAGAAACACCTGCATGCATATGTTCAGTGCAGAACTATTCACAGTAGCAAAGTCATGGAACCAAACTAAGTGTCCATCAATGGTTGACTGTATAAAGAAAATGTAGTATATATACATCATGGAATACTATGCAGCTATAAAGCAGAATTAAATCATGTTCTTTGCAGAACATGGATGGAGCTGGAGGTCATTATTCTAAGTTAACTAATTGACAAATGGAAAACCAAATACTGCATGTTCTTACTTATAATTGGGAGCTAAACAATGGGTACACATAGACATAAATATGGAAATAGTAGACACTGGGGACTTAAAAAGGGTGGAGGGCGGGAGGAAGGTGGGGAGTGAGAAATTGCTTATTGGGTACAATGTTTACTATTTGGGTTATGGGAACACTGGAAGCTCAATCCCCACCAGCATGCAATATACCCATGAAACAAACAAGTACATATACCCCCTGAATCTAAAATTTAACAAAAAGTGAGAGTCTTTATATGTTGTCCCAAATTCACAGCAATGGCATATTACTGTGCAAAAAATTAATGAGGGGGTAGTTTATAGTTGATTTACTCTTTGAGGTGTTACTGGACTCATCTTTTCTAGTCAGTGTTCATTACGTATTTATGAGTCAGATTGGCTATCTTTCATTCTTTATTGTAATTGGAGAAGAAAAACATCACATAAAACCATTTTCCTGGCTGAATGGTGAAATAATTTAAAAGGCAGTATGTTAACCTTGCAGCTTGTCTAACAACCATGAGACTCTCCTCAGAACAATAATTAAAGTAGCTCTTTCTTTATTATATAAATTATTCATTCACTTTTTAACACTAGGTGAATGTTTATGTTTATATAAAATGAGTACTAAAGATGGTTTTCCCATTTCAAAAGTCACCTCCTGTTAACTTGTCACAACTTCATCAGGAAAAGAAGTTACTGCACAGCTGTTTTCCTGTGAAATTAATGCCGTAACTTATATAAACACAAAATTGTACAATAAGATTCAGGCTGTGTTTACATTGATTAACAGACATAGAAAAGGCACACATCTGCTCAAGGGGGAAAAAAGTATCCTCAAGGACAAGAAAGCATTTTGGGATATCTCTTCTTATATACTCTAAAAATTTTGGGTATAATATCCCTGTCTCCCTGAGGTACAATTCATAGAGGGAAGATGAGGAAACAGAGGTTTCTTTAATACTATGTGTAAGCAATGAGTTAAGGCCAAAAATTCTTTGACCACATGAGTTCCCATCACTGATCTTTTCAGCTGTCCAACGTCCTCCTCATGTACTCACTTCCCACTGTCCTTATTTAGATTCCACACGATTGTTAAAACCACTTCTTGGTACATAGCCTCAATCCCCCTGCCTCTATCCCTCTGTAAGACTCAATTGGTTAAACCCCACAGGGTTAAGTCCAACTCCCCATCAATACTTGTTATTATAATATCAGTCTTTTAAATTTTAATCATTATTATTTGAATGTAGTGGTATTTCAATGTGATTTTTAATTTGAATTTTTCTGATGAGTAATGATATTGAGCACTTTCCCCTATGTGTTTAGCCATTTGGGTACTTTTTGTCAAGTGCCAGTTTAAGTATTCTGCCTATTTTTGACTGTTTTTCCCCCTTCTTGTTTGTAGTTCTTCACATATCCTGAATATGTATCCTTTAATGTTTATATGTATTTTAAATCTCTTCTCCCAGTTTAAACCACATCTTTTCACCCTCTCAATGGTGTCTTTTGGTGAACAACGTCTTAGCCTGTTTGTTTTGCTAAAACAGAATATCTGAAGCTGGGTAATTTATAACAACTGAAATTTATTTTCTCACAGTTCCGGAGGCTGGGAAATTCAAGATCAAGGTGCCACCAGTCTCAGTTATCTGGTGAGGCTTGCTTTCTGCTTCTCAGATGGTTCATCCAAAGAGAAGGAATTCTGCGTCCTCACATAGCAGAAGGCAGAAGGCCAACAAGGGGTGAATGCTGTGTGAATCCTCTTTTATAAGAACACCTCATTCCCATTCATGAAGGAGGAGCCCCCATAGACTGATCACCTTTTTAATGGCCCCACCTCTTAATATTGGCAACATTTGAATTTTGGAAGGGACATATTCAAACTACAGCAAATAGACATTCTTAATTTAAATGATGTCCAAGTTATCATTTTCCTTTATAGTTAGTGCTTTTTTAAGTCTTTGCTAATGAACTTACTTTTCTCATTCACCAAAAAAGTGGAAACAACCAAAAAACGATGTTCATATCCTGCCTAACAACAAATCCATCAAGCTACCTGTACCTCTACCCATACTCTTTCTTCTCTCTTATTAACAATGGATGGGTTTTCCCTGCTCCTCACTACAGCCAAAACTGCCACTGCTTCCCATCCACTCACCCACTTAAGATCTTCTTTCTTTCAAGTATTATTTCCTCTTCTCATCATCAAGCTTTCCCTCTGTGCTAGAGTCATTCTGATCAACATACAAATATGCTATAATATCACCCATTGTATCTATCAGAGTACCAGCAGGAAGTTGATGGCACTAAATTAGGATAATTTGAGGAAGATTCATAAAAAAGACCATTTACAAGACAAGGGCGGGGTGTAGAGAAAACATGAAAGATATGGAGTACCACAGGATTAGTAATAGTGACGTTGTTACCAAGCATAGGTCCCTAGTGAAGGAAGAGATTACCGGCACTCAAAAGGAGTCAGTCATGCAAAATGACTATTGGGAGTAGTAAAGAGAACCAGGAAGCCAGAGGCTGCCTCCTGTAGGGAAGGGGATAGGAGAATAAATGTTATAAACTTCCTTTTCCTCTCTTCCTCCAGTCTCCAGTTAAGGTTCCAAACTTCAGAGGTTAAGATGGTTTGTTTAATATAATCCATGTAGGTCAGCTTCCTGTGATACAGCAAAGTGTGGAGAAGGAGAAAGTGCTGAAGTGGTAGATGGCAGGTAGCCGCAGGGTCCATCCCTTTTCCCCTCTTAGTCCATTTTTATTCTTCAAATGGTTGAAAAATTTATGCCCTCAATACAAGGGACACACATGTTCTTCAGCTCTCATATTAGGGCAAAGTGATGTTAATTTGGCCATACTCACAAATCAAACCTTAAATATCAGTATTATAAGTGTCAATTGTATAAAATAAGAGTGTGGAGGTAGGGAAAAATAAGTAATTATAATTCCTACCTATGCAGTTAGTGCCAACACCTAACTTGGTAATTATGACTCCCTTTCTCTGTCACTTACTTCATGTTTCCCTCAACATATCCACCTTGGCTGGATACAGTTCTCTATAGGGAAAGATATAAAACTTCATTCCAGTAAAAATTGTATACTCAATGGTCACATCTTTATTGGGCTGCCAAAGTTTTCCATTGACCTATGCTACTGGACAAGGGAATATAAGAGACAATCTAATTGTTTTCTTAGGTTCAAAATAGAGGGGTCTTCTTTGCTCCTATTATGTAGCAGAAATGCGATTTTCCCCTGGAAATTAAGATCAGTTACCCTAGCTCATACAGTGAAACATCTCTTTATTGGTTCATCAGCATGAAAAACGCCAAATGGCCACGAGACAAGCCCATTTTTCAGTGAATCAGAATGAGGACTGTTTCCTTGTGGAAGCATTCTTCCCTTGGTGATATGGTTTGGCTCTGTGTTACCACCTAAATCTCATCTCTAATTAAAATCCCCACATGTCGAGGGAGAGAGATGGTAGGAGGTGATTGGATTACAGAGGCGGTTTCCCCCATGCTGTTCTAGTGATAGTGAATTCTCATGAGATCTGATGCTTTAAAATGTGGCACTTCCCCTTCGCCCACTCTCCCTCCTGCCGCTTTATGAAGAAGGTGCTCACTTCTCCTCCACTTTCCACCATGATTGTAAATTGTCTGAGGTCTCCCCAGCCATGCAGAACTAAGAGTCAAATTAAACCTCTTTTGTTTATCAATGACCCAGGCTTGGGTATTTCTTTATAGCAGTGTGAAAACAGACTACTACACTTGGGCATGAAGACTTCCAGACTTAACAGTCATAGCGTTGAAAGCAACAAAATTTAAGTGAATTATTATGGATAATAGTGGAAGGGGTTGCTCTCACTTTCCCCTCTTTCCCGAACCCATGCATTCTGAATACAGTGACACCACCAAATAGCAGCTGTTAGTTTAAGGTAAAACTCTCATCCTTCAGAACAGCATCTCAGTTCTTCAGGGTGGTCTACCCTAGCTGGCACCATAACTGAGCCTCTACCAGGCACTCTACCATCCCATTAAGTCAGCTTCTATAGGGTGGTAGGGTAATACCAGTGAATGTAATGAGAAGCAGTCCATTGCCTCACCTTCTTTCACATGAAATATGTTTCCTGGTCAGAGGTGATGTTGCACGGGATAGGTTGGGAATGAATAAAGAAGGTATTCTGTTAGTCCACAAATGATAGTGCTATCAGGAACACCGTGAGCAAAAAATGCAAATCCCTTGTGAAATATGCATCTTCCATATAAGGACAAAGTGATACACTTGGCAAGATGGGAGAGATAAAATATAATTAATCTGCCACTAGGTGACCAGCTTGACTCTTGATAAATGGTACATCACGTGGCTCAGCATCAGCCTATGCTTTTAGAAGGTTAAGCATTGAGCACAACAGTAGCCACATCAGCCCAGGCAAGAAAAAAGACTATGTTTTTGAGCCTGTGCATAGCCTCTTTCCCAGTTGCTATGGTTATTTTGTACATGGATCCATTAAGTATGTTCCAGGGTGTCTGGGAAAAGAAACTGACATCAAGAGGATGAGTTGCCTTGTCTGCCTGATTATTAAGGGTCTCCTCCAAAGTGGATGCCCTCTGGCGCACATTTACAGATTAAGTGGATATCTTCATACTCCATGCCCATACTGAGAGGATTATTTAAATCTGTTTCCCCCAGAACTCTTTGTCAATAATTTTCCAATTTGTCTTTCTTAGTCATTGAGCAGTAGGTCAGTGTGTTAGCCCCTGCCCAGAAGTCAGCGTAGATTTGCACCTTAGGCCATCTCTCTTTTAACACAAAATGGACAATTCAACCCACCATTCTAAGTTCTGCCCACTGGGATAATTTCCCTTCATCAATACCCACCTTCCCCAGCACAAACAGTGAGACTGTAGTATAGTGGTTTTTTCCTAGCATGTGGGGCAGAAAGACCTATAATTAGGCCCATGCTTTTCCCTGTCCCTTGGCTGGCCAGAGGGAATCAGTTATGGTGTCATAGATGTGAATTGAGGAGGAGACGGTAAAGCATCAGGGGCAGGTAGCACAAGAATCGGAGCCACCTGATCATGCAGTTTACTTTTCCTTTTATATCTGCTCAGACCTGGTCTCTATATTCAACTTCCATTTTATAATGGAATGTTGCTAGACATGTCCAATTTTATGGTCCAATGGATTCAATAACACCAGTGTATGACTGGCAGTTGAGGTTGCATACTAACTTGATGACCAGAGTCATTGATTTAGTCTCTACCAGGGTCCAGCAGCAACCCAAGAGCTGTTTCTTAAGTAAAATATAGTAGTTGGCAAGGGATGAAAATGTCTTACCCTAGAGTCTTCTATTCTCCTACTATGGTTTGTGCAGTATGCATTTTTAAAACTCTATTTATTTATGCTGAAATATTTTAAAGTGAATCAATAACATCTTGATATTACACCTCTAAATTCCTTAGTATATATATCTTTAAGAAATAAAAATATTGGCCAGGCATGGTGGGCTCACACCTGTAATCCCAGTACTCTGGGAGGCTGAGGCGGGGCGGAGTACCTGAGGTCAGGAGTTTGTGACCAGCCTGGCCAACATAGTGAAACTTAGTCTCTACTAAAGATATAAAAATTAGCTGGGCATTGTGGCACATGCCTATAATCCCAGCTACTCAGGAGGCTGAGGCAGGAGAATTGCTTGAGCCCGGGAGATGGAGGTTGCAGTGAACCGAGATCATGCCATTGCACTACAGCCTGGCCGACAGAGTCAGACTCTGTCTCAAAAAATAAAATAAATAAATAAATAAATATTTTCCTGCTTAGCCAAAATAACATCATTGCACTTAAAAATTAAAATTCCTTTATATTAATACTCAGTCCATATTTAAATTTATTGTTCCAGAAATGTCCTTTTCACTTAACTTACTACATTTACAACTTTTCTCATGGCTTGACATTTTTAAAATAGAAACTTTGAAAACAGTGCCAAATCAGACAAAAATTATACTGTGTAAAATTGCATACATGGATAACAAAACTTCAAAGAAACACAAAGAAATTTAGACACTGGTTAATTTTGGCGACAATGACATGATTATAATCAGTTAGGTGTAAACAGGGAGCCTTGGGACGCTGGCAGTATGCTATTACTTGGCCTGGGTGACAGCTGCACAAAAATGTCTTTTATTGAGTATTTGTTAAATTATACCCATATGTTTATGCACTTAAAAATACAGATATGACATAATTTATGAACAACATATTAAAATACTTTTGGAAAGTAAAACTTCTATACAAGTATTAAGTATTATTATATAAAATAAAAATAATAGAGCTTTTATAGCATTCTTTTGATTTGTACAGGACAAATCTAAATAAAAGTGGCTTTTGCTAGCATTGTAATAAAGGTATTTTATTTTTACAAAAGGCAGACGTCTTATGTTATAACTTAAGACCATCAGTTCAAAATCTAGTTCTGTCTGGTATTCTTTTTTTTTTTTTTTTTTTTTTTGAGGTGGGGTCTTACTCTGTGGCCCAGGCTAGAGTACAGTGGCATGATCATGGCTCACTGCAGCCTTGACCTCCCAGGCTAAAGTGATCCTCCCACCTCAGCTTCCCAAGTAGCTGGGACTATAGGAGTGCACCACCACACCCAGCTAACTTTTGTATTTTTAGTAGAGGTGGGGTTTTGCCATGTCGCCTCTGTCTGGTATTCCAAATAATTTTCATGCATTGTAATAGCATTTTCACAGTTTGTTTTATAAACATTCTAACAAATGCTATTTGAAAATGTACAAGAGGATTAAGGAAGAAAGTTTTATAGTTATAAATATTATAAGTAAACATTTTCTTTTATTGCCAAAGATCAATGGATTTCTTAATCACTTGGTGAAAGAAACATCTCTAGGTTCTCCCAGGGAGTAAAGTTAGGGAGATTGGCAAAGCAAATAATAGATAATTACAACATTCCTATTTCCCCAATTCTTCAGACTCCCATCTCCATGGTATGCCAAGGAAGTTTCCATATTTCTACTTTCTTTTTTGAAAGATGAAGCAAGTTAATGTTTCATTAACAAGGCATCCTAGTAAGAGTAACAACATTTACTAAGGCCCTCAGAGGCATAAAATAGCATATCTGTAAATAATAATAAAATATTTTTTATTTCCAATTCTGACTTTTATTTATTTTTCTTATCTTCTTTCACTGGCTAGGACTTCAGTACAATGTTTAATGGAAGAGGTAGTGGATATCTTTATTTGTTTCCCATTCTCATAAGTAAAACATTAAATAATTCACCTTTAAGTGTTGTTATAAATACTTCTTTAAAAATTAAGTTAAAGATATAGAAAGTTTTTCTTTCTATTTTGCCTATATATATACATATATTTATTATTATTATTATTATTATTATTATTATTATTATTATTATTATTGTTATACTTTAAGTTCTGGGGTACATGTGCAGAACCTGTAGTTTTGTTACACAGGTATACACGTGCCATGGTGGTTTGCTGAGCCCATCAACCTGTCATCTACATTAGGTATTCTTCTAATGCTATGCCTCCCCTAGCCCCCCAACCCCCAACAGATCCCAGTATCTGATGTTCTCCTCCCTGTGTCCATGTGTTCTCACTGTTCAATTCCCACTTATCAGTGAGAACACGCGGTGTTTGGTTTTCTGTTCTTGTGTTACTTTCCTGAGAATGATGGCTTCCAGCTTCATCCATGTCCCTGCAAGGGACATGGACTCATTCTTTTTTATGGATGCATAGTATTCCATGGTGTATATATGCCACATTTTCTTTATCCAGTCTATCACTGATGAGCATTTGGGTTGGGTCCATCTTTGCTATTGTGAATAGTGCTGCAATAAACATTCATGTGCATGTGTCTTTATACTAGAATGATTTCTAATCCTTTGGATATGTACCCAGTAATGGGATTGCTGGGTAAAATGGGATTTCTCGTTCTTGATCCTTGAGGAATGGCCACACTGTCTTCCACAATGGTTGAACTAATTTACACTCCCACCAACAGTGTAAAAGCATTCCTATTTCTCCACATCCTCTCCAGCATCTGTTGTTTCCTGACATTTTAATGATCACCATTCTAACTGGCGTGAGATAGTATCTCACAGTGGTTTTGGTTTGCACTTCTCTAAGGACCAGTGATGATGAGCTTTTTTTCATATATTTGTTGGCCACATAACTGCCTTCTTTTGAGAAGTGTCTGTTCATATCCTTTGCCCACTTTTTGATGGGGTTGTTTGTTTTTTCCTTGTAAATTTGTTTAAGTTCCCTGTAGATTCTGAGTATTTCCCTTTGTAAGATGGATAGATTGCAAAAATTTTCTCCTATTCTGTAGGTTGCCTGTTTACTCTGATGATAGTTTCTTTTGCTGTGCAGAAGCCCTTTAGTTTAATTAGATCCCATTTGTCTATTTTGGCTTTTGTTGCCATTGCTTTTGGTGTTTTAGTCATGAAGACTTTGCCCATACCTATGTCCTGAATGGTATTGCCTAGGTTTTCTTCTAGGGTTTTTATGGTTTTAGGTCTTATGTTTAAGTCTTTAAGCCCTCTTGAGTTAATTTTTGTATAAGGTGTAAGAAAGGGGTGCAGTTTCAGCTTTCTGCATATGGCTAGCCAGTTTTCCCAACACAATTCATTAAATAGGGAATCCTTTCCCCATTGCTTGTTTTTGTCAGGTTTGTCAAAGATTAGATGGTTGTAGATGTGTGGTGTTATTTCTGAGGTCTCTGTTATGTTCCACTGGTCTATATATCTGTTTTGGTACAAGTACCATGCTGTTTCAGTTACTGTAGCCTTGTAGTATAGTTTGAAGTCAGGTAGCGTGATGCCTCCAGCTTTGTTCTTTTTACTTAGGATTGTCTTGGGTATGCAGGCTCTTATTTGGTTCCATATGAGTAGTTTTTTCCAATTCTGTGAAGAAACTCAAGGGTAGCTTGATGGGGATAGCATTTAATCTATAAATTACTTTGGACAGTATGGCCATTTTCACAATATTGATTCTTCCTATCCATGAGCATGGAATGTTTTTCCATTTATTTGTGTCTTGTCATTTCCTTGAGCAGTGGTTTGTAGTTCTCTGTGAAGAGGTCCTTCATATCCCTTATAAGTTGCATTCCTATGTATTTTATTCTCTTTGTAGCAATTGCAAATGGAAGTTCACTCATGATTTGGCTCTCTGTCTGTTATTGATGTATAGGAATGCTTGGATTTTTGCAATACATTGATTTTGTATCCTGAGACTTTGCTGAAGTTGCTTATCAGCTTAAGAAGATTTTGGGCTGAAGTGACTGGTTTTTCTAAATATACAATCATGTCATCTGCAAACAGGGACAATTTGACTTCCTCTATTCCTATTTGAATACCACTTATTTCTTTTTCTTGCCTGATTGCCCTGGCCAGAACTTCCAACACTATGTTGAATAGGAGTGGTGAGAGAGGGCATCCTTGTCATGTGCTGGTTTTCAAAGGGAATGCTTACAGCTTTTGCCCATTCAGTATGATATTGGCTGTGGGTTTGTAATAAATAGCTTTTATTATTTTGAGATATGTTCCATTGATACCTAGTTTATTGAGAGTCTTTAGCATGAAGGGGTGTTGAATTTTGTTGAAGGTCTTTTCTGCATCTATTGAGATAATCATGTGGTTTTTGTCATTGGTTCTGTTAATGTGATGGATTACATCTATTAATTTGTGTATGTTGAACCAGCCTTGTATCCCAGGGATGAAACCAAATTGATTGTGGTGGATAAGCTTTTTGATGTGCTGCTGGATTCGGTTTGCCAGTATTTTATTGAGGATTTTTGCATCTAGGTTCATCAGGGATATTGGTCTGAAATTTTCTTTTTTTGTTGTGTCTCTGCCAGGTTTTGGTATCAGGATGATGCTGAACTCATAAAGTCATTTAGGGATGATTCCCCCTTTTTCTATTGTTTGGAATAGTTTCAGAAGGAATGGTACCAGCTCTTCTTTGTACCTCTGGGAGAATTTGGCTGTGAATCCATCTGGTCCTGGATTTTTTTTGCTTGGTAGGCTATTAATTACTGACTCAATTTCAGAACTTCCAATTGATCTATTCAGGGATTCGACTTCTTCCTGGTTTAGACTTGGGAGAGTTTATGTGTCCAGGAATTTATCCATTTCTTCTAGATTTTCTAGTTTATTTGCATAGAGATGTTTATAGTATTCTCTGATGGTGGTTTGTATTTCTGTGGGATCAGTGGTGATAGCCCCTTTATCATTTTTTATTGCATCTATTTGATTCTTCTCTCTTTTCTTATTAGTCTTGCTATCGATCTATTTTGTTGATCTTTTAAAAAAAACAGCTCCTGGTTTCAATGATTTTTTTTTGGAAGAGTTTTTCATGTCTCTATCTCCTTCAGTTCTCCTCTGATCTTAGTTATTTCTTGTCTTCTGCTAGCTTTTGAATGTGTTTGCTCTTGCTTCTCTAGTTCTTTAATTTTGATATTAGGGTGTCGATTTTAGATCTTTCCTGCTTTCTCTTGTGGGCATTTAGTGTTATAAATTTCCCTCTAAAAACTGTTTTAAATGTGTCCCAGAGGTTCTGGTACATTGTGTCTTTGTTCTCATTGATTTCAAAGAACATCTTTATTTCTGCCTTAATTTCGTTACCCAGTAGTCATTCAGGAGCAGGTTGTTCAGTTTCCATGTAATTGTGCGTTTCTAAGTGAGTTTCTTAATTCTGAGTTCTAATTTGATTGCACTGTGGTCTTAAAGACTGTTTGTTATGATTTCCATTCTTTTGAATTTGCTAAGGAGTATTTTACTTCCAATTATGTGGTCAATTTTAGAATAAGTGTGATGAGATGCTGAGAAGAATGTATATTCTGATGATTTGGGGTGGAGAGTTCTGTAGATGTCTATTAGGTCCACTTGGTCCAGAGCTGAGTTCAAGTCCTGAATATCCTTGTTAATTTTCTGTCTCATTGATCTGTCTAATATTAACAGTGGGGTGTTAAAGTCTCCCACTATTATTTTGTGGGAGTCTAAGTCTCTTTGTAGGATTCTAAGAACCTGCTTTATGCATCTGGGTACTCCTGTATTGGGTACATATATATTTAGGATAGTTAGATCTTCTTGTTGCATTGATCCCTTTACCATTATGTAATGGCCTTCTTTGTCTCTTTTTATCTTTGTTGGTTTAAAGTCTGTACTATCAGAGACTAGGATTGGAACCACTGCTTTTTTTTGCTTTCCATTTGCTTAGTAAATATTCCTCCATCCCTTTATTTTGAGCCTATGTGTGTCTTTGCACGTGAGATGTGTCTCTGAATGCAGCACACCGATGGGTCTTGACTCTTTATCCAATTTGCCAGTCTGTGTCTTTTAATTGGGGCATTTAGCTTGTTTACATTTAAGGTTAATATTTTTATGTGTGAATTTGATCCTGTCATTATGATGCTAGCTGGTTATGTTGCCCATTAGTTGATGCAGTTTCTTCATAGTGTTGATGGTCTTTACAATTTGGTATGTTTTTGCAGGGGCTGGTACATGTTGTTCATTTCCATGTTTAGTGCTTCCTTCAGGAGCTCTTGTAAGGCAGGCCTCGTGGTGACATAATCTCTCAGCATTTGCTTGTCTGTAAAGAATTTTATTTCTCCTTCGCTTATGAAACTTAGTTTGGTTGGATATGAAAATCTGGGTTGAAAATTCTTTTCTTTAAGAATGTTGAATATTGTTTCCCACTTTCTTCTGGCTTCTAGGGTTTCTGCAGAGAGATCTACTATTAGTCTGATGGGCTTCCCTTTGTGGAAAACCCAACCTTTCTCTCTGGCTGCCCTTCACATTTTTTTCCTTCATTTCAATCTTGGTGAATCTGATGATTATGTGTCTTGGGATTGCTCTTCTCAAGGAGTATCTTTGTGGTGTTCTCTGTATTTCCTGAATTTGAATGTTGGCCTGTCTTGCTAGACTGGGGACGTTCTCCTGGATAATATCCTGAAGAATGTTTTCCAGCTTGGTTCCATTCTCCCTGTCACTTTCAGGTGCACCAATCAAATGTAGATTTGGTCTTTTCACATATTCCCATATTTCTTGGAGGCTTTGTTTGTTCCTTTTTATTCTTTTTTCTCTAATCTTGTCTTCACATTTTATTTCGTTAGTTTGATCTTTAATCTCTGATATCCTTTCTTCTGCTTGATCGATTAGCCTATTGATATTTGTGTATGCTTCACAAAATTCTCATACTGTGTTTTTCAGTTCCATCAGGTCATTTATGTTCTTTTCTAAACTGGTTATTCTAGTTAGCCATTCTTCTAACCTTTTTTCAAGGCTCTTAGCTTCCTGCATTGGGTTAGAACATGCTCCTTTAGCTCGGAGGAATTTTTTATTACCTACCTTCTGAAGCCTACTTCTGTCAATTCATCCAACTCATTCTCCATCCAGCTTTGTTCCCTTGCTGGTGAGGAGCTGTGATCCTTTAGAGGAGAAGAGGCATTCTGGTTTTTTGAATTTTCAGCCTTTTTGTGCTGGTTTCTCCCCATCTTCGTGGATTTATCTACCTTTGTTCTTTGATGTTGGTGACCTTCAGATGAGGTCTCTGAGTGGATGTCCTTTTTGTTGACTTTGATGCTATTCCTTTCTGTTCGTTATTTTTCCATCTTACAGTCAGGCCCCTAGCTGCATGTCTGCTGGAGTTTGCTGGAGGTCCACTCCAGACCCTGTTTGCCTGGGTATCACCAGCAGAGGGTGCGGAACAGCAAAGATTGCTGCCTGTTCCTTCCTCTGGAAGCTTTGTCCCAAAGGGGCACCCACCAGATGCCAGCCAGAGCTCTCCTGTATGAGGTGTCTGTTGGCCCCTACTGGGAGATGTCTCCCAGTTAGGATACACGGGGGTCAGGGACCCACTTGAGGAGGCAGTCTCACCCTTAGGAGAGCTCACTTTGCTGGGAGATCCGCTGCTCTCTTCAGAGCCGTCAGGCAGGATGTTTAAGTCTGCTGAAGCTGCGGCCACAGCCACCCCTTCACCCAGGTGTTCTGTCCTAGGGAGATGGGGGTTTTATCTATAAGCCCCTGACTGGGACAGCTGCCTTTTTTTCAGAGATGGACTGCCCAGAGAACAGGAATCTAGAGAGGCAGTCTGGACATAGCAGCCTTGCTGAGCTGCGGTGGGCTTCGCCCAGTTCGAACTTCCTGGCGGCTTTTTTTACACTGTGAGGGTAAAACTGCCTACTCAAGCCTCAGCAATGGTGGATGCCCTTCCCCGCATCAGGCTCAAGCATCCCAGGTCGACCTCAGACTGCTGTGCTGGCAGTGAGAATTTCAAGCCAGTGGATCTTAGCTTGCTGACTCTGTGGGGGTGAGATCTGCTGAGCTAGACCACTTGGCTCCCTTGCTTCAGCTCCCTTTCCAGGGGAGTGGATGGTTCTGTCTCACTGGTATTCCAGGCACCACTGGAGTATGGAAAAAAAACTCCTGCAGCTAGTGCGGTGTCTGCCCAAATGGCCGCACAGTTTTGTGCATGAAACTCAGGGCCCTGGGTGAATAGGCACCAGAGGGAATCTCCTGGTCTGTGGGTTGCGAAGACCATGGGAAAAGTGCAGTATCTGGGCCAAAGTGCACTATTCCTCATGGCACAGTCCCTCACGGTTTCCCTTGAATAGGGGAGAGAATTCCCTGACCCCTTGTGCTTCCTGGGTGAGGTAATGCCCCACCCTGCTTTGGCTTGCCCTCCATGGGCTGCACCCACTGTCCAACCAGTCCCAATGAGATGAACCAGGTACCTCAGTCAAAAGCACAGAAATCACCTGCTTTCAGTGTTGATCTAGCTGGGAGCTGCAGACCGGAGCTGTTCCTATTCGGCCATCTGGCCAGCTGCCCCCATTTTTCTACTTTTAAAAATCTAGACCAATATACTTAGATTTGCCAATCCTACAGATGATGAATATCACTTCTAGGTGTTTGAACCAACACACCAAATCCTGACTCCTCGGTTGTCCATCATACCAATGAATTTGGCCTATTTGAGACTCATATCCTATCCCCCTTATTCAAAAATCTTTAGAATTCACCCCCACAAGCTTCCTAAATGCCTTTAGTTTGCCCCTATGTATTGCTGAGGTCTTACACATTTTTAATCTATAGGTTATCTCTGCTCTGAGCAAGCCTTCTATTGAACACTCTTAGGGTTATATAATATTGTAACTTCTCTGGAGGCAATCAGAGGTGGTAGGGATGGGTCCTGTTCGGATGTTAGTGCTTCAAGTACAGTCGGTGAAAAGCTTTTACAGCAGGGACTATTTCCTCCGATAGGGAAATGGTGCTCCCTCCATAGGCAAAGATAATTTAAGGGACATTTAGGACATCTGGGTCAGCTCATATGTTTCTATCCTATTTCTCAGCATTCCACTACTTCCCCACCAGTGCCTTTACCTTAGTATAGACACTTGGTGATCTCTTCCATTCTGTAACTCTGACAATCAGCCCTAGGATTTGTCCTTAGTCAAATCTACTCAAAGCATTTCTTCAAAGCTTACTTGAAGAACTTTGGGTCCTCCATGTGTGTTCTTTATTGGATGTTCATGGCCCTTAATGTCATGTTTTCCCTGCATATGCCTCTTCAGGACCATAATAAAAAGCCTGATGATTATATCATCTTTATAATCACTTTGTTGCTTTGGTGACTAATTTTCACTTCTCATTTAATTCAATTCTACTATTAATAATCCGAGTAACCATGATTCCAGAGCAGGCCATGGTTTGCATGTTCCTTCCCTCCTTACCCCCATGAGGAGATTATACCATACCCTTTGAATGTATGACAAATTTCATCTGGAAAGGCCAGTTTGATAACCTGTTTCTTGGAACCACTTAATTTAAATCCTCTTATAATTTCTATAAATCTGTGTTTTAAGCCACTAAGTTTGTGATAATTTGTTACAGCTGCAATAGAAAGCTAGTATATCAACTAACAACTATTGTTTGGGGACAGCCACCTTTTTTCATTTCACTGAATGACTACAGAATAGTTATACAACAAGACAGTTTAACATTTTTTGTTTTCACTATTATTTGGTGGGGATACAGCTCTTGGAAACTTCGGAAGAGAATCTAAAGAGCATTTTTCATCATGCAGTTGTTTATACTTTTTATTGAGTGCCTATTATGCACCCAACACCCTTTATATATTATTTTAAAAATTATAACCCTGGAAAATTAATGCTATTATTCCTCATTTTAGAGCTACAGAATCTAAGACTTGGAATGGTAAAGTTACTTGCTCCAGGTCATATGGTTAATATGTGCCAGAACCAGAAGTTAAATCCCAAAGCCATCAAAATCAAAAGTCCAAGTTCATTTCATGACACATGTGGCACCCAGAAGAGCCTGTGTATATATCAACAATTAATGCACATTGAGTAGGATTTGGGGGAAGCAACATCAATAAGTCCAGTTTCCTACTTTTATCTAGACTCTTAGTTTCCAATTTACTCATCCCAGCCTGTTCCACTAAAGATAAACTTTTAAGGAACCAGAATTGTTGTAAGCACAAAATCTAATCACTGAGTCTCAGCCCTGGATTATATTAAGTTAAATTAAATTAGATCCAATACTGAGGCTTCCAACCCTGCTTTATGAATTTCAGAATGTCAGAGAATAGATGTGAAAAACTACAGTGTGATTAACTTGTTACTGGGGGCTCAAAATATCACTTTCTATCTACTGACCATGGAACTAGGAAGGCACATTCTAGAAAAATTGGTACACATGTTCATCAACAGCATATTCCCACCAACAGGCCCAGATGAATATCAAGTTAGCATTTGCATGGACATTAACTGTTTTATTAACATCAAATTTCATTGACTCCCCCCTCAATGCCCCCTCCCCTTCCGCTAAACAAAATCTGTAAGCTAAAACTTAAAAGAAGAACTGAAATGCTACACACTGCAGGGTCTTGTTATTGAGATTCTGGGAAAATGTGTTTCCTTATGACAATACATTCATTTCTCAATAGTATGTTCTATATTTTGCTTTGTAATTGGCCTTATACTGATAAGAAAATTGAGTTCACAATCATTTTTTACCCCTTTGAAATTATATGGTTCTGCTGTTATAAATAACCAGCATTCTGTTTCTATCAACAGGAATCCATAGTGATTTACTCTGAATGATCACTTGCAGACAGAGTTGTCAAAGTGATTTCTTCAAGACAAGAAGTAAGCTGGGCAACCCAGCTCAACCAGGTGAGTGGGGCACAAAGACTCAAATCCATCATATCAGTGTGCTATTGCTCTTTCTTCTTCATGTCATTAACCCAAACAGCAGGATCCAAGCAACCAGCTATAAGCTGCTAAAGCGGTGTCACACAAGAAAGCTGGCTAAAATGCAAAAGCCTCCAGCTGGAACTAGAAGCTATATAACAGAACCGGAACAGAGACCCAGTGTCCCTTTGTCTATAAGAACATTTTTTCAATAGCAAAAAGAACAAGAGTGACACTTGGTGGCCAGTACAAGACATCACAAAGGACTGAGCCATAGGCAACACTCTTCCTCCAGCCTTGCTCTGGGAATTTTGAAGATGAAAGGAAAACTGCGCTGTTCATCGAGAAACAAGACCTGTGTTTGCAGGAATAGTATTACTCTTGGTCTGGTTGGTAGCTAAATATCAGAAGTGACATCATATGGCAGATGTTTTGAATAAACAGAAGTTAGTGTGTCCAAAGCACATTTCAGAAAAAAGGATAGACACTAGAATGCTAATTCAGGTAGCCATTAAGAGCCTAGGCAAAATCTATGATGAATAAGAACTTTAAATGAACCATTCTTAGCCACTGCACAGAACTTGGTCATTTTTCCTGTACTCTGAATTTACCATTCTTCCAGGATAAATAACCTTTATTCTAGTCAAAGCTCCTCCTATAAGGCTTCTCAACACAACCAAGTTAACTTCCAGTTCCTGTAAGCACCTTCTTAGATATCTTTTATTAGTTAACAGACCAAAGAAAGAGCCCATTTTAAAGTATTTGTGAAATAAATGCACATATAAATAAATGGAAAAAGTGCAAACAAGTGGAATGGTCTATAAAAACACCACCCCAAGTAAAGGAGAATGGAGAAAAACAAAATACATACCTATTCAGGAACAATAGAAAACAAGAGTTTCCAACATATAGGAAAGAGGCTATCATCCATTGATATACTCTGACACAGAGATGCTGGGAATGTGTTCTAGTGAATATGTAGGTATTTATGCCTAAGGTGATTATTTGGCATGCAAGCCCTGTCACTGTGTAACCATCTGACAGATTCATCTTGCCCCCTACCCAGATACAGCCAATTTATCAAGACAGGGAAATTGCATTAAAGAGCTTAATACATGCAGATCCAGCTAAACAAGAGACCAGAGTTTTATTATTACTCAAATCAGCCTCCCTGAAAATTCAGAGGACAGGGTGTTTTAAAGATAGTTTGGCAAGCAGGGGATTACAGAATGAATGCTGCTGATTGCTTGGGGATGTAGCCATAGGGGTGTGGAAAATGACCCTAGTGCACTTTTGGGTAGGGGTCACAGGACCAGTGGAGTCTTGAGTCATGGGTCTGGGTGAAGTCATCTAGTCATCAGAAATGCAAAAGTCTGAAAAGGCATCTCAAAAGGCCAATCTTAGGTTCCACAATAGTGTTGTTAATTACGGAAGTAATTGAGGAAGTTATAGATCTTGTGACCTCTGGAACAATGGCTGGTAATTATTTAACTATGTCTGTCTCTAAGCAGATTCAGGTCCCACTCATAATCCTAAACTTGTGGACTTTTATTAGTTTTATAAAGGTGGCTTAGTTTTGGGAAGTGTTATTATCATTTAGACTATAAAATAAATTTATCCCATAGTCAGCTTGGCCCACTTACAGTAATGCCCAATGGCAGTTTGGAGATTAAAGGCAAGATGGACTTTGTTAGATCAGATCTCTTGCACCGTTATAATTTTCTCACTGTTATAATTTTTGCAAAGGTGATTTCAAGTGTCTCTCAATCTTGGCTACTCAGTAGCTTCATCAGAACAAGTTTTAAAGCCGTTGTATCCAGGCTACAATCCAGACCAATTAAGCAGAATTTCTGATGGTAGGCCCCATGCTTGAGACTTGTTTAAAGGTCTCAGCTGATTCTAATATGCAGATGGACTCACATTAGAATCACGGCTGAGCACCAGTGTGCTGAAATGGTGAAACATTTTGGTCTCAAAATCTCTTCACATTCTTAAAAATTATTGGAGGACTCCAGAGAGTTTTTGTTTAAGTGGCTTCTATTTATTCATGTTTTCTATATTAAACATTAAAACCAGACTTTTTAAAACATTAATTACTCAGTAAAAAATTACAATAAACCCATTACATAGTAACATGTGTTTATAAAAATAACTATAACTTCCCAAACCAAAAATTTAGCAAGAAGAGTGGCATTGTTTTACAATTTTGTAAATCTACATAATGTTTAACTTCATAGGAGGCACTGGGATGCTTATGTCTGCTTCTGCATTCAGTTTGTTTTAATATGCTACTTTTATTGAAGTAGCTAAAGTAAACTTGGCCTCTCACACATATGTAGTTGGAAAAGAAAGTAGTATTTTAATTATCTTTTCAGACAACTCCGGATATTCTTCTTTGATACTACATTAGAATTCAACAAGTGCTAGTTTCTCAAATAATAGTTGCAATTGGAATCTAAACCCATATCAATGAGCATTTTGTACTTTGTTTCATTAAAATTCTTTAGTGAATCTCACAGTTTGAAAGAATTTTTTATGCAGCCATGAATTCATAAAATTATGCTTTGGTCATTGAAAATATAACAGTTTAATAATTACACGGATCTTTTAAATATTGACACATTTCATTCAGCGTTATAAAAAAATCACATAATTATCATCACCTCTGATCTCATCGGAAAAGTCTTTACAAACTGGGAAGCTGTCAAACTTAGAGTGACACCACAGTTTTCCAAAATTCTAAATTTCACTTGAAATTTCCAGTTTTCTAATTGTCAATCTATGCTGTCAGTTTTTTTTTTTTAACATGACAGGCTCACTTCAATTATTTTCATGAAAATATCTGTTAAATATCACAGTCTTAATAGCCATAGTTAGCATATCAGTGTCTTTTAAAATAAAAATGTTGTTTCTTGCAAAATGCAGTTCATTCAGCTTGCATTGCAATCACACAAGTGCTTTTTCTTCAGACAACCATCCTGCTCACAAGTGCTTTATGAGTTGTATTAGTCCATTCTCACACTGCTATGAAGAAATACTTGAGACTAGGTAATTTATAAAGAAAAGAGGTTTAATTGACTCAGTTCCACATGGCTGGGGAGGCCTCAGGAAAATTACAATCACGGCAGAAGGCACCTCTTCACAGGGTGGCAGGAGAGACAGTGAGTGCCAGCAGGGGAAATGCCATATGCTTATAAAAACCATCAGATCTCGTGAGAACTCATTATCAGGAGGACTGCATGGGGGTAATGACCCCCTTGACTCAGCTACCTCCCAGGAGGTCCCTCTGACAACACATGGGGATTATGGGAACTACAATTCAAGATGAGATTTGGGTGGGGACACAGCCAAACGATATCATGAGTTTTTCTCATTGTTGTCACACAGAATGTCATTAAAAAGTGTGTTCTTCTTGTAATTTAATATACTTTATAATTTTTATTGCTTTATCAAAAACCTCAAATGAAGCTGGTATGTTGTCTATGAGTGAATGGCATGACGGAAACCACAGGTGCTACTTCAGTTCTTTGTACCATCAGAGCAAATGTCAGCATGGTGAAAATGGCAAATAATATCTTAATATTATTAATGATAATATATTAATAAAAGTAGGTTTGGCCTCACAAGCCCCCTATGAAAGTGTCAGGGACTTTGAGAACTTCTGCACCAGAGAGAATGGTGGAAAATCTTAAACTGCATTCAGCTACACTTCCAATTTCCTCAAAAAGGAGTAAACGAAGGGTAAAGCCAAGAAGGGAGCTATTATTTCTGGGAATTTTAAGTCCATGTTAAAAGGGAGTCAAAGTGATATTGAGAAAAATGGGAAGAAACTCTGTTTGCCTGAAGTTACAAGCTATTCTGAAACTCCAGACAGGGAAAATCTCAGCATCCTAAAGATACCATGGTAAATGATATTCTTCTATGTTATTTTAGGGCAGGCAGGCATCAGGGCTGTGTTTCTCAGACCTCTAACGTCCATGTCAACATCCTTTCAGTGCACATGAAAATCATTAATTTTAGCCAATTCTTAAAACAGAAAATTCACCAAAGTATCTAACTAGTAAAATAAAATGCAATATCTGAAAATTAACACGAGCAATAAATAGCTCCAAATCATAGAATATGTATCACAGTGCCCTGAAGATAATATAAAATTTAATAGGAAAAAATGTGAAATAAGGTCTTTGCAATTTTGGGGTTTTTTCTTTAATTAGCTACATAAACAGAAACGATAGAGATCTGGCCTGATAAAAGTTCATGGAAAAGGTCCAACTGAGTTTATTGATTGCAAACTTAATGTTTGTAATAACTGTTGTAAAAGCTGATGTTTTCAGTTGCATTAATGTAAGTATAGTAGCTTGATGGAAAGAAGTGACTTTTACAATATATCAGATAGGTTACAAATCAGTTTCAGGAAAATCACAAATCAGTTTCAGTCTGTTGTGCAGTTTTGGGGTTTATTTTTATAATAGTGGTTACAATTTAGCAGTTTTTCAGAAGGATAGATTGTCCAGGCCGGTTGAGAGTTTCATGTAGCCTGCAGTAGTATAGTTGAGCTTTTTAGTATGAAAATGCTCCTCCCTTTAAAAAATAAAAAAAGTAAGAATGGTAGGAAATACCAGCTCTTGCAGGGAAAACATCAGTTTCAGAATATTTGGAGACTAAAGGATCAAAGGTCTAAAACAGAAGACAAATTAAATCCCATAACACGATCAATGGAACATCATGGCAGAGAACTAGCGGTCAGATCATCTTGTTTCCAAGTAATACTGCCTGGGTAATGTGAAAATGTGATTCTAGACCTGGGCATGAGCACAAAGATAAAAGTAAGTGGTCTCTTGCTGTCAGAATGACCATGTTATTCTTGTGGAATAGAATAAAGGATGCTGAGATACATGCTTACAGACTTTCAACTTGAGCCCCAGACATGCTGCTTATTCACTGTTTGAAACTTGAACACATTTCCTAGCTCATTTCTCTGGGCCTCAAGTTCTCCTTTATAAAATGAGCAGGTCTTTGTGAACAGGAGCAGTGGTCTTCAAACTGGCAGATACGAGTAGCCCTGTGTGTTCTCGAAGACCTTCCAAGTAGCAGGCAGTCATGAAGAGTTTTACAAAGATACATATCATGTGTTTTATGTATTTTCTTTCCTAAAATTTACTCGTCGTCCCTCTTCTTCCCCACCACCTTTCACAACAGCTCTTTTTCCACTTTGTAAGAAATAGGCCTACCCACACTAGTCAGGAATCTTACATGGCACCTTATGTGAAGGGTACAAATCTCCAGGGCACCAAACCAAGGGATAAATCAACAACTACAAACAGCATACTCCATTTGTTTCAAGAGATATATTTAAAACAAAATTTTACTTTTTCTGCTTAGTAATAATATCATCTATATTGTTTTGATTATATATTAATGATTGTAATGATCATTCATCAAGCAAAACATTTTAATTCTTATAACCTCATGATGACAAATTGAAAAATTAACTGTGTATGTGCATAATTACAGAAATGTATGAGAAGGTGATCAATAAAAGATTTTAAAACATAAAGTCATACTATATTAGAATAAAATTCTAGGTGGGAAATGGAATGGAAATCCAATTTCAAAGATACATACAGATATTGCAAAATGTCTGATTGTTAAAAAGTTTGTTCGTGTATATTTTAAAGGATGTTGTTGGGTATGAAATGTCTGTAGCATTTAAATGCTACTGGATACATAAAAAGAATGATATTTTATTTTTAAATGTCAATATTTGCAACATATAGGAAATTATACTCTGTATTTATTTAAACTTATGACAAAAATTTATGACAAAAATATTCACATGTCTAAAAAATGTGTGAATATTTTCAAAAATTCTTTTAGGGGGTTTATGAGTATAAAAGTTTGATTGTCACTAAGTTAGAACATTTCTAAACCTTGCCTTTCTCTTTTCCTATCTGTCAGCTTTATAGCTTTATAAAATAGTGCAAGTGTTTTGTGGGTTTGTTTTGCTTTTTTGATGAACATTGTAGGCAAAAACACATGATAACGACAGGGGATCTGGAAAGTAAATAACTCTCCTTAAAGAGCTCTGCCAACTGGAAAGTTCCTATTGCACAGGGCAAGAACTCTGAGTCCATTACTTGAACAAGATTTTCACTCAAGTATACCAGCTAAGGATAAGACAAAAAATTACAAGTTCACACACTAAGACTATTCTTGGCTCCAAGTACAGGAGTCCTAGTCCTTCAAATTCCAATTACAGTGCCAGAATGACAAGTGTTTCTCTTCTTTAGTCTTCTCTATCTTCTCTACAGAGAGATATATAGCTATAGCTGGAAACAACCATAATAATCAAATTTTAAGGCATTTTTACTAAATGGGTAGTCTTTAGCATCATAATATTCTCAGAGAAAGATAACTTTAATAATTGATTGGTTTTCGACAAGAAGAGTCTTAAATACTTTGTCCATTTTAATCAGCTTTATCTAGGCCTTCATTTGTATCTAAGGAAAAGCAGTCTTTGTGGTACCACATCTATGGGGATCTATAAGGAGGAATGGATTCTCCTTAGGATCAGAGTATAAATGGCTGTTTGCCTGGTCTCCTGAAGAGTTAGAAATTCACCATTGGAAATTAAATCTAATGTTTTAGATCCATAGGCATTTGTCAGCCAGTTTCATGGAAGTGTCCCACCCTGCCTTTAAGGAAGGAACCCGGTGGGAGGTAATTGAATCATGGGGGCGGGTCTTTCCCATGCTGTTCTTGTGATAGTGAATAAGTCTCACAAATTCTGATAGTTTTACAAAGGGGAGTTCCCCTATACAAGCCCTGTTGTTTGTCACCATGTAAGACGTGTTTGTTTCCCCTTCTGCCATGATTGTAAGTTTGCTGAGGTCTCCCCAGCCCTGCAGAACTGTGAGTCAATTAAACCTCTTTCCTTTACAAATTACCCAGTCTCAGGTATGTCTTTATTAGCAGCATGATAGCAGGCTAATACATGGGGACAAGAACAGCCTAAAGGAAATTTCTCCAAGGCCCTGAGTAGCTTGAGAGTAGGAGGCTGATGGAATCTCTAGGAGGAAATAGAAGGGGCTACCAAAAACAGAGGGAGAAGAAAGATTAGATGTGAGTATTACCTAAAATAATAAATTTGTTACAATCTAAACATTAGTTACACATTTCCCAGCCAGCCCAGCAGCCTTGATAATCGTGCCGAGTATATTTTTGTGCCTAGTTTATTGGGTGCACGGACTGACACACAGTCAGTACTTAGGCAACTGTGTTTATTTGTGACATGCCTCTTCAGCTCTATATGTCACAGGCATACCATCCAGATCCTGAGAACATTGTTAGTCCAACTCTTCAGTGAATTGCTTGTGGGTATTTAAGAACTATCTGAAGATTTTTTTATGGAGCATGCCTTAATGTTTTACTTATAATAAGGAATTAGCCTTTGAGGTTTCCTCATGGTATGATGATAATTCATATTAGATCTTTAATATGGCAGGAGAAAACAAATGTATACATAAATTAAAAATGAAGATGAGTTACCCAGAAATGTGTGGAATCTTCTTCTCAAATGATATTTAATAATAGAACAATATTGCAACTCCTTGGATTAAATAGGAATTCTGCTGTTGGCAATAATATCATCTATGTTATTGAGCATGTGCTACTCATCCAGCACTGTGCTAAATAGTTAATCTTTACGATAATCATGTAAGTATTCTTGTCTTCCCTTAATGGGGGAAGATACTGGATCAGAGAGGCTAAATGACTTGCTCAAGGGCTGAGAATTGCTAACTACTAGAGTCAGGATTCGAACCCAGATGTGTCTAGATGGATTCCAGGAGAATCTCCAGTAGTGAGAATCAATGGTGTGTGACTACTTCCCAAGAGCCGTGAGAAGGGCTTGCCCATAAATGGACTGGGCAGCAATGAACAGAGCTGGAATGAGCTGTGTGGGTGGTGATGACTTGCAGCTCAGCCCTGTGCAGCTCTGTGTGAAACATTACCACCATGTGCAACTCCAGCATCTTTTAGTGTGGGTGATTACTCTCTGATTAAGCATTTTGGAAGGCTTCCCACCATTCAGATCTCCACTAACAGAAAGTATCATACACATGAACTGTGTTTGGTTAAGCCCATGCATAATTTAATACTAGCCCAATTTGACTAGAAAGATTTTAAACTATTCAGCTGCCAAGTTAAAAAAAATAACATTTGGGGCAAAATGTGGAGTAGTGCCAAGCATTTTCTTCATGAAGAAATACATGTGTCAATTTGGATTTTAATTCTATTTTGTAAAATACATTGTTGTTCAAAGAAACCCACAGATAACATACTCAACACGTTTGATTTTGGAATGTTTTAGAATGGAATGTTATTTTCCTTATGCCTATCTCTTAACACTTTTACATTAAATCAATGAGATTTAGCTTCCAAAAGCATTTGTTCTTGCTGCAATGTCTACAGTTATAGCCTCTTACTCAAAATTTTACAAATGTACAATTTATTTAAAAATGTATAAATGCTTCCTTATAATCATAGGATAGCAGCATCTACTGAAAGCATCAGGACAAGTAGCGTTATTTAAATGTAGATGGAAACACTAGACCAGATTACTAGGTAGGGAAAGACCAATTAACTAATGACTGACTTGGAAGAACCCACATTTGGTATTCAAGTGCACTTGGCTATTACAAAATCCTGTTTTTTCACCCCTTCATGAACCAGACCTAGCCAGTCACCTGATAAACACATTGTGGATAGAGCTAGGGCCATTTTGGAAACAAACTAAAATAGAAAGGACAAATTTTCTTTAAAACCATGATTTATGAATTTGCAGTTGTCATTTGTCTCTTATTCCTTATTGATGACAGCAGTCAGTGTTGTACATGAGCATGTCTAGTTTTGTACATGAAATTTACTCTGGAATACTGGCCCAAGACTTAGCATCCTGTGGCACATGATTGCAGAGCAATGCTCTGAAGCATTGCCACTTTCTGCCTGTGTGACCATAGGAAAGTCACTTAACTTCTTCAACAAAGTATTCATACCTATGGCAGGCAATTGCTATGAGAATTAAGTAGAATAATATACATGTAATAGACACATAAGACCATGACTAGAGCATAGTAAATGCTTGATAATATATAATGTTACATATTATCAGACTACATAGAAAACTGATACCAAAATCCTTGAACTTAAAAAATTGATCACTGGAGTCACATCCACCTGCATTCTAATCCAAGCTCCTACTGGTTGGTTGACTTTGAGAATGTTTCTTAATCTCTGAATCTTGGTTTTCAATCTTTAATTGGGATAATTAAGCCTGCTCTTTCTGATGACTGAAAAAATTAACAGATAATAAATATAAAGGGCCTAACATTACAACAGCCACGTGATAGGAACCCAGTAATGGTCTGTTACTAATTAAGGCAGTGAGGGTACAAACGAATAATCAAAGTCTCTAGCCATGCAGGAGTTTATATCCTTATCTTATCTTAGAGGAAATGCAGGCAAAGAAAGGAAACAGTAGGAGTATGAGACAAAGAAATCCTGAAGCCCAGAGAAATAGACAGTAGATAAAAGAGAAAAAATTTGTGTTAAATAGTGGAGAGTCAAGGTGTGTGCCAGTGAAGGCAAGAAACAGCTCAGGGATGAGGAGCTCAATCAGCTTCACTGACACAGATGGATTTCTCTAAGATATCCTTGAAAATGGAGGAGGTACTCCAACTATTTCTTTTGCAAAATTGAGTTCTTTGTTAAACAATGTGTTAGGAACCATTATACCTATAATAGAAGGGTATACCTTAATTATGCTATTTCTCAAAATTATGCCTCTTCCATGACTCATGGTATACCAATGGTAGGAAGAAGGGTAAGAGAAGACTTCTCAGGTACAGGCACTAAGGGTTGCATTGTCTGTAGAGAATTTAAAAACAATAAGAAAACTAAAAGGCTATCTAATTTTGTTTTTGATCACTAATCATTAGATGTGGGGTATAAATGATAGAGATCAATCACCAGGTTTTGGTCTCTCAATGATTTTATCATTTAAAATTCCATGCTTGCCCTTATGGAAATGAGGGATATATTTTGCTTAATTAGTAGATTTCCTTGTCCTTGTTTTTAAAATAATTCCATATGTAATATACAAAGGTAGTTTTTGGCCGGGTGTGGTGGCTCACGCCTGTAATCCCAGCACTTTGGGAGGCCAAGGTGGACAGATCATGAGGTCAGGAGATCGAGACCATCCTGGCTAACATGGTGAAACCCCATCTCTACTAAAAATAGAAAAAATTAGCCGGGTGCGGTGGTGGGCACCTGTAGTCCCAGCTACTCGGGAGGCTGAGGCAGGAGAATGGCATGACCCCCAGGAGACAGAGCTTGCAGTGAGCCGAGATCGCGCCACTGCACTCCAGCCGGTGCGACAGAGCGAGACTCTGTCTCAAAAAAAAAAAAATACAAAATAAAAAAAGGTACTTTTTAAGTTGACTGCTGAAATATTACTATTTCTTCATATAAAGCCATTTCATTTGTATGGATTTTACATGAACATTTTATACGAGAATGAAGACATTAGAGACATGATGTGTCACAGCTTAACGAGTCTGTCAGCAAAAATCAGTCTAAAGCAGTTTGCACTCTCAACCTGTCAAGCAGTTAATGACTGAGAAAATCCTCTAGTTAATTTGTCAGTTGAAAACTTGGTGGTTATGAGCTTCATATAATACATCACCCACATCCTACTCAACAAACTGTCATCGAAAAATCCCTGAAATGGCTGATGTGTAGAAATGCTCTCCCTCTTCTTTTGAATAGCTGTTTCTCGTGAAAAAGAATATTTCTGTCAATGCTTATCCATGTTCCAGCGACAAGGCTGACAGACAACAGGCAGAGAAAGACCAACAGCTTGCCAGGCTGCTCACTGTCCTCAGAAGCCCCCAACACAGTCAGGAAGGACATTACTGCTGACATGGTCATGGATCTGCACAGAAGTGTGAAACTGGAAAACATGTCCCATGCATAACTTACTCACTTAAACAGTCTTAGATTCTAAACTCAAAGTGTCACAGAGTCAAAAGCACAATTTAGCTGTAAAAATACTTCCAAGAAGTTGGAATGCATGATCCTGAATATTTCCAAGGGGTCAAACTGGCCTAGAGACCAATAAGGGATCTTCCAAAAATCTTCTGAGGATAATATATGTGCAATGAATAGGAAGCAGAGTAAGTCCAAGCCACTAGAAATAGGAATGTCCCCCACTGCTTGGAGCCCTCAAGCCTTGGAGTCTGGACTAAAACCTGCAAATATCTTAACTGGCGTCAACTCCATTTTCTGGGGCTAGGAGCAAAGAATGAAGGAAAGGGGAAGCTATGTACTAACTGGAGAAAAAGAGAAACAGTTTGGTGGAAAATAATCTTTGTATTTACAACAAGAAAATAGAGGAAAATGGGCATAGGAATGACAAAATGTTAAAATGTATCTATTTATTTGCAGATTCAGAATTCTGAATATCTAAAGTCATTTTCTTCATGTGCCAATTTTCTGGGGAAACTATCTGAAAAATCTGATCACATGGTTACATCAACCTCCTAGCCTCAGAAAAGTAGATTTCGAAGGGACTTACAGAGCATCTAGTCTAATGTCTTTATTTAAAAAATGAAAACTAAGGTCAGAATATTAAGATGCTTTCTCCAAGGTTACAAGTTAAACTAGAGGCAGAACTGAAACTAGAAGCAGCTCCTTGACTACTGGTGCAATGGCATTTTCTCTGTGCCATATATGAGACAAAGGAAGGTAAAATATCCTATTCTTGTCTTGAAATCAGTTACTCTGTCTACAAGACCACCCTCAAGTTTTTCTTAAAAAAAATGGAAAATGGAATGTTTGCCTTTGTGGCGTTTAATTCTAAGTGTCTGCTTTTCACTTGTTGACATTTGTTATAAAGCCTTGTACTGCTGCCCCCTGAATATTCAGGGATTCTCATGCTAACTTCATACCCCGAATTTCCCTCTTGGGCAATTCCTTATGGTCCCTAAGCCTGCTTACAACAATCACACTTTCTTACACTAAAACTTAACTGTCATGTGCTCTATTCTCTCAAAGTCTCAGCAAACAATTGGCACAGAAATCTGATAAATGTATCCTATATACGCCACTTAGCTGACTCTGAATGAAATGCAACTGTCCATTCCCTTTTGTGCCCTCAGCATACTGAGTACCTGCAGCTAGCCTGTTGACACACATGAGCAGTGTGGTGTGTGTGTGTTTGCAGTATGGCATGTGCATGTGTAAGTGCATGCATGTGCATGTGTATGCACACAACACTGTCTTGATAGCAAATAGATATGGAATAGTTGAGACTTTCTATAATAACTCTCTGGTTCTACAGTAGTGCTCTTACCAAAAGCATGAACACAAAGTAAAACAGCTCATTTTTGTGTCCTACCACCTTAACTTTGTATTTTGCAAACCGCTACTAGATGCTAAGGTATTAGACTTCAAATTAGACTACTTCCTAATGGAAACCATGAGGTGAAAAAGAAAGAAATTATAAGGAAGAGGAAAGAAGTAGAAGAAATACAGGCTTTTGGAGCATTCATCGTCATATTAAGCAGATTCCCTGCTTGGTGCTATAGTATTTATATCTCCCCAATTTTTGGCATGCTTTTCAGTTCTTATTTTTGCTTTTATCAATTTTGCTACAAAGATTACTTGAATTCCAAACATTTTAAAATGCTGAATTGCATTCAATAGCTTATTTTTTTATTAAAATGATTTAAAAGTTTTATTTCCACTTTTTTTTTTTTTTTTTTTTTGAGACAGAGTCTTTGTTGCCCAGGCTGGAGTGCAGTGGTGTGATCTCCGTTCATTGCAACATCTGCCCTCCAGGTTCAGGCACTTCTCCTACCTCAGCTTCCCGAGTAGCTGGGATTACAGGGGCCTGCCACCACACCTGGCTAATTTTTGTATTTTTAGTAGAGACAGGTTTTCACCATCTTAGCCAAGCTGGTCTTGAACTCCTAACTTCGTGATCCACCCGCCTCGGCCTCCCAAAGTGCTGGGATTATAGCAGTGAGCCACTGCGCCTGGCCTATTTCCTCTTTTTATTTTATGAAGTATAAAAGTTCTTTTATTTCTTGGGGAAATATCTCCTCACAAGTCAAGAGAAAAGTCTGTGATTGTGAGAAAAGGTCAAGTTTTATTTCAGTAACCACCACATTGATCATGTTTCTAATTCTGTCTACCTGAACACAAGGCAAATTAGTCCTGCTCTTGGGATTATTGACGTGACAAATTGGAAGAAATACAAAAACAGTTTCCTGAGAAGATATAAGATATTAAAGTGCTGACTGATGATCATTTAACAAGTTCTGAACCAACTACTTCTCTTTAGCAAAACAACAGGACCTAACAAAACCCTAAACACTGTATTACCTAGATTTTAAGAAGTGCTTCCCCTCTCCACACACATGCATTTTTAAATAAACGTTTTTTAGAATATTTTTGAATTTACAAAAGAGTTCTAAAGATTGTACAGACTGTTCCTCTATACCCCACACCTAGTTTCTACTATTGTCCACATCTTGCACTGGTATAAGACATTTGTCACTAGTAAGCCAACATATAGATCTTTTAAATTAAAGTCCATACATTATTTGGTTTCCTTAGTTTTTACCTAATTTTTTTTTCTGTTTCAGGATCCTATCCAGAATACAATATTACATTTAGTTGACAAGTCTCCTTAGCCTCCTCTAGATTGTGACAGTTTCTCAGATTTTCTTTTTTTATCAGACTTTTTTGATCATCTTGACAATTTTGAATAGTACTGGCTAGGAATTATGCAGAATGTCTCTCAACTTGGGTTTGTCTGATGTTTTTGTCATGATTAAAATGGAGCTATGGGTTCTCAGGAAAAAGAGCACAGAGGTGAAGCACCATTCTGATCACCTCTGATCATCATTCTGATCAAGGTGCATGCTATCAACATGACTTCTCACTGATGATATTAACCTGGATGACTCTGCTGAGTAGTGACTGCCAGATTTCTCCACTATAGAGTTATTTCTTTTTCCCCGTTTACATACTGTACGATTTTAGAAGAAAGTCACTCTGTGCAACCCCTACTCAATGTGTGGGACATTTGCTTTACCTCCCTGAGAGGGGAATAGCTACATAGAAGATATGTCTATTGTCCTCTGTTCATTCATTCAGCCATTTACTTATATCAATATGAACTCATAGATATTTTATATTTGGGTTATAATCTGACTTGAAGCCATTGATTTTGTTTCTTAAATTATTCCAGCTTTGGTCACTGGGAGCTCCTTCAGTTGCTCTGAGGTCCCTTTGATATGTCCCCATCAATTTATTTTATTTTTTGAGGACTTGCCACCACAATACGTTCCAGGCCCATCACACATATTGGCTGCTTCAGACCTAGAATTAGCCATTTCTCCATGGAGCTCTGTTTCTATTCATAGGAAGATGGTATTAAAAACTAAAAATGGGTGCTGGATTTGCTCTTGCCATGAGACCCTATCAGCTGGTAGAGAAAGAAAATATATTTGTGCACATTAACTTGTATATATACATACATCTATAGGAATTTCTTTACGTATCCATATATATTTATATTTGGAATCCATTGCTACATGAATCATTGTAGCTTATTCTTTGTTTATCTGGCTCTCTCTCTCTCTCTCTCTCTCTCTCTCTCTCTTTGCCATCTGTTTACTTATTTGTTCAATTCCAATATACATTATAAGAGTTTCAGAATTGTTAACCTGTACTACCATGGATTAAAACTTTATCAAGTAGAATACAGCTCTTACATACAATCTATTTTGCTTTTAGTCTTACAGTCTCCACTCATTTCCAATTACTTGGGTCAGCACTTTTCCCCACTACCTTCCTTACTCTGGTAGTTTCATACATTTGTAATAAAGTTATGTTCTTTTGTCACATTCAGCATTCTGCCCTGGATCCATCAACCTCCTAATTTATTTTTTAAATTTGTATAAATTAAAATTGACTTTGTGGGCCAGGCACGGTGGCTCGTGCCTGTAATCTCAGCACTTTGGGAGGCCGAGGTAGGTGGATCACCTGAGGTCAGGAGTTCGAGACCAGCCTGGCCAACATGGTGAAACATCATCTTTACTAAAAACACAAAAAAAATTAGCTGGGTGTGGTGGCAGGTACCTGTAATCCCAACTACTCAGGAGGCTCAGGCAGGAGAATGGCTTGTACCCAGGAGGTGGAGGTTGCAGTGAGCCGAGACCACGCCATTGTACTCCAGCCTGGGCATCAACAGTGAAACTCTGTCTCAAAAAAAAAAAAAAAAAAAAGACTTTGTGATAAAAGGTTCTGTAAATGGGGTCACATAGTATGCAGCCTTTTCAGATTGGCTTCTTTTGCTTTGCCACATGCATTTAATATTCATTTATGTTTTTATGTGGCCTAATAGCTCATTCCTTTTTATCACTGGATAATATCCCATTGTATGGATGTATCAGTTTATTTACCCATTGAAGGTCATCTTGGCTGCTTCCACTTTTTGGTGATTAGGAAAAAAGCTGCTATAAACATTCACATGCAGGTTTTTGGGCAGACATAGCTTTCAAATCAGTTGGATGTATACCTAAGAGTGCAACTGCAAGATTGTATAGTAAGACTGTATGGTTAGCATCATAAAAAACTATAAAACTGTGTTCTAAAGTGGTGCTACCATTTTGCATTCCCACCAGGAATGAATCACAGTTTCTGTTGTCTTCATTATTGATAGCAATTTGTATTACCAAGTTTTAAAAAATTTTTAGACATTCTAATTAGTGTGTGGTGGTAGCTCATTGTCATTTTAAGCAATACTCCCCCTACCTGCCAAGCCCACACACACACATTTTAACATTGCTAAAATAAACCTAGGTCTTATAAAATATATGAACATTTAATATAATGTTTCTGGTTTTGCCCATGAAATGCTACAGCTCATCTTAAAGCAGATAATACTTAGATTTATATAGTACAAAGGAACCACCAGTGACTTTCAAGGATTCAAGCAGGAGACCATACATGTTTTATCTGTCTTATGAAGTTGTCAATTTGGAATGTATCTGGCTGCAAGCAACAGAATTCTTCATTACAGTCAATGAAGCAAATTAGGTTTTGTTTACCTCACATAACAAACAGTCTAGAGGAAGGCATTTGCTGTCATTGATTCACATGCTTAGATTTGATATTAGAGACTAAGAATCTTTTATATTCTAGCTCTACCCAGGTGTTTTACATCATGGTTAAAAGACTGTTCCTTTTGTAGACCAGATGTAATGTCTATTTTCAATGCAGTAAGTGAGTGAGAACAGTGTCAGTAAAAGTTTCATAAATAACCGATTTCTATTTATGTCTTTATTTCTAGAACTGGGCTACATGGCACCCCATAACTGCATAGGAGGCTAGGAAAGTTAGTACAGCATTTAGTTGAATGATATCCCAGACTGAACAAAACTGGACTGCAATTAGCAAGGCAAAGAAGATAAATGGTTACACAATGGACAGAATTTGGGGAGAACACATAAAATGAGTATTTTGAAATATGCTTTTACGGTAACAGTATTAATGATTAGTACTTTTTTGACCAGCTTTAATCAGAGCAAGATATTTTTATTGAATTGGAAGAAATATATCACACTGACATAAAATTTTAGAGATGGAACAGATTTAAAGAAGTGAAAAGAAAGTGGGATTTAGAGTTAGAAGACCAGATTTCAAGGTTTGGCACTGGTTTTCACTAGCTATCAAACCTTAGCTAAATTACATGACTTTATGTTACTTTCCTTATTTATAAAATCTTTTTCTCCTGTGGATAACATTTTCTGTTTTTTCATGTGTAAAGTAATTTAGGATTATGTCTTGGGCATTGCAAATTATCCAATGAAAAGACTACAGATTCTCTTATATTACTCTGAAGATTATAAATTTTTGTTTCATTGCTTTTTTAACCAGGCAGTTAATTAGGCAAATCTCGATCTTCAAACTCTGTCTCCCTTGCAATGGTCAACAACTGAAAATTCAGTTCCGTTTTTTTAGCCTAAGCTGTAATGCTTAGAGTCTGTCTCATGCATGCATAACTCTGGAATTTACCAGACATTTGGGCAGACACAGAATTTGGAGCTCTCCCTGTCTAACTTTCTTTTTCCAGGATTTTCTCCTTCACTTTTCAGCTTCTATGGTTGTACTGGATCTGTACTCTGTCTTTAAGCCAGTAAGATGATAGGCTTCTATTTGAGTCTTAGTTGTTGCCCCTGATTAATCTGAAGTCTCACCTCAGGCTGAAAGCCATAAAAGGTGGGAAACTCCTCTTATGCTGTTTCTGTCATGCAAGTGTTCATCTTCTTCCAGGATCAGCTTGCTATGAGATAACGCCTAGTGCCTTTGGATAGCTGGGTTTTTTTTAATATTTTGCTTAGAGTGTATACTTTCTATTTGCAGAAGAGTTACTTTAGTAGGAACTACTCAGTTATAATCAGAAGCAGAACCCCTAGTTTTCTTATCTATAACATGGGGAATAATAATTATGCATGTCATATTTCTTTCTGGGATTTTTATGTATATCAAATAAATTAGTGCATATGAAAACAACTTGTGAACTTATAGTGCCACAGGGATCATTTGTCATTATTGCACAGATGATAAAACTCTGGGCCAGAGACATGAATTGACAGTAAAATAATTATAGATCTAGTCAGTATCAAAACTAGGACAATAATCTAGGTATCCCAAACCTTAGTCTAGCCCCATTTCAACTATGCCATACAACTTTCTTTATATTTGAAGTTTGTCCCTAGGCACCAAAATATCTACCAGATTTACCCATTTGGTGAAACATCGAGCCAATTCAGCGAAACTAGAATGATCGTTTTTCTGAATCAACTAATCAGCTAACCAAAACAGCTACCCCAACAACAGTTTTTAGAAGAATTGAGAATCAGACAGTGAAAGTTGGGTCTTTCATTGGCCAACACCTCTCAGGTAGAAGATGCTCATAGACTTTCCTTTAGGATTCTTCACCTGCTTCTGAGCACCCCATGCCTTCTTTTAGCTTTAGGGTTAGAGTTAACTCCAGGTTAGTCTAGTCCAATAGTTGTAAGAGGTAAAACTAATTTTTTTTCTTTTGCATCCTCTTATTTTGTGTTAGGTACTGCTAATTGAAAATAAAGTATCCTTGAGTGAGATCATGCAGTTATTTATTTCCATCTTTTACACTAGGTCAGACACCCCACAGTCTATGTGGGAGCAGGGACATGAGTATGTGATGTATTTTCCTGTGTGTTCTTTCTCAGCAACAATGTCATAAGGAGCAACTAGATTCTCACTAAGGCTTGTGAGTTATTCAGATGTTATCTATCCATCTGAACTTGCGTGAGGCAAGGTTATGAACAGCAAACAGAGGAAACTTTATAACAGACTCTTCAGGTTTTATCATGTTTTACCAAAATTTATTACAGAAGTGCCTTGATATCTTCAAATTAGATACTGAAATTCATTTAAAAAATCAGTAGGATGTTGACAAAGTCCCTTAAGCAGCCTTGAACTTTAAAAGTCTTTCATTGCTAGTGCAGCTCTTACCTAAGCTTTGCAGACTATGCAAACCTTTCATCCTAGTCTAAGTAATTATGCATTCTTTATTGATCCTGATCAGAATGTGTGATAGATCACTACAGCACGTTGTGCTTAGGAATCAGTCTCCCAAAAAAAGGTTTTTCCAGATTTATGTTTTGCAAATCTTGAAATGACATACAAATATCCAGGCAGACAACTTGAAATTTGGGTTTTCTAGACCAGTGTTTCCCAACATGTGGTCCATAGACTGCCACTGTCAGAATCCCTAGTTGTTATTTCAAATGAAAATTCCTGAGCTCTAGGTGCACTCTGCCTAGGGATCGTTCCTGAGGGTGGTGGAAGGAAGAAACCTACATCTTTAACAAGGGCTGCAAGCCATTGTGATAACTGACAGTACCACACGGGATCTCATAAATAGTCAAGGACAGGGGATTTTGATTGTAAGATCAGATCTTTGGAAATATATTTTCAGGAAGGATTTCAGGCTTCGACCATGCTGACCTGAAGGGAAGCCCTGACATTCGAGGTATAATGTGTCAGGCATTGAAACTCCTCTATTTCCAGTAAATCAAATGCTGGTATGCCTTCTTTGAACAAATATATTGGCAGCCCTTATTCAGATACAATTTGAATAAAATCTCAAACTCTTAAAAAGTGTACTATGACAATCTTTAGACATTCATTCATTTAACATGTAATTATCAAGCACTTACCATGAGTAGTAATTTTTCTTGGAAGGGAAATACATTAATGACCAGAGAGATGATGCTCTGGCCTCATATAGCTTACATGTTAGTAAGAAAATAAATAAATACATATATATACATACATGCAGATTTTGAACACTGCTGAAGAATAAAGAAAAAGGATGATGATCTACAGGGTGAATGAGCCGTGGGTAAGGGGTGAGGTAGCTAAATAATAAGCTATGGGATAGCTAAATCCCTCTCTCTTGAAAGAAGCTATTGAAAGAAGGACTACCTGAGAGGTTTGATCTGAGAAATTCGGTAAACATTTCAGGCACAGGGAGTAATAAGTATAAAAGCCTAAAGAAGTGGAAAAGAGAGCAATGTAGTGAGAGCCCTGGTGACCAAAGGGTAGAGTGCTATGAGTTTTGATAATTAAGAATATAAGGCATAAAGAAGACTGTGATGTTCTCAGTCCTCTAGGACGTGATCTAGCAAGCTGCCCAAGAATCATCTGATTCTTGGGGACTGTTACTCACTTACCATTATCCATCAATTAAAGCCCAGGCATTTTACATCTTTGTAGAGTTAGATATTAATTTATAGAAAATGGATAAACTGGTTTTTGGTTAGTAGAGCAGATAATCCCAAAGGCTACATTTTAAATTTCTCTGTAGTACATAACCAACATTTTCATTTGGTTAACTAACTTTTCATTCTTATTCCTGCTTTCTTTGCTTTTAGTTTTCTATTCATCTTAAATGTATTTGTGTCTTACGTATTTCTTTAAATCAACTTTGTTACCCCATGGGTTTTCTAATTAATGAGTTAAATAAATGGTTGACACATACTCACTGTAAATTTTTTTAATATTTCAGGAATTATACCTTTGTAGTTGAAGAGGCAGGCAAAAGTTGCTCATACAGGGCCTTGTGGGCCTTGGGATGATCGCTTAGGTTGCTTTTTGGAGAATGGATGGAAAGGAAAGATGGTGGCAACAGAGAGGCTGCTAGAAGCCTGCTTCTGCTTCAGTGGTCCAAGCAAGAGATGAGGTCAGTTGAAGAAAGGAGATGTCTGTGGAGATAAAAGAAATTGAAAAACTCAAGAATAAACTTTTAACTAGCTACTTAGTGAGACTTTGAGTGACTCGGACTCGTGGTATCAGGTAAGTTTTGATTGATGAGGCATACAGTGAGAGACAGGAAACTTCATGAAAAAATTCTACTAACTCATGGAAATCTTAGGAGGGAAACCCAGGGTGTGACATCATTTTGGAGGGCGTGAAACAATATGCCTTTAATAAGGGTGAAAAATAAGGTTCTTATTCCCTTCTTTTAGTCCTGCATGAAAAAAGTGTCCAGAAAAATCAACATAACAAAAATAATATATAAACTAAATTTATAGGAGTAGAAACAGAAGCTTATTAAAGTTTGATGTTAACATTTTTAAAATAGACTTAATTACTATATTATATACATGAGAAAAAAATAAGACTCTGGAGAATATGTAAAAAAAAAAGCTCTTCATAGACTGAGAAGTTTAGATAAATAAAACATCTATTTGACTAAATATGTGCAGGAAATATATGAATAGGCAACCCCCAACATTTTCTCCTGGCTGTGATTTTCAAAAATATATTTAGTGAAGGAACTGTGGAATTTTCAATTTGCTTACCAAACCACTAGGAAGGTCTATTTTATAAGATTCATATCCTCTCCACATCACCATCACAAAATTCATTTACATTTGGATTGAGTTCTAATGCACTCAAGTGATGGTCTTTTGTTTCCCTTCTTTTTTCTAAGCAGCCAGTCAATCAGTATTTTCATTTTACTGCTTTGGATCTGAACTGGTACATTTTCTGACAGCAAAGCCATAGATTGTTAAGGGAGATTACTATATGTACTTACCACTTCAGAGCCTTAACAAACGAGAATTTACTCCTGTCAACAAATTAAATTTTGGCTTTAAAAGCATGCATGCCTTCAAACACCTAGATTATGACTTACAAATCAGAAGTCCTTGCTCAGATTTAGCTCCCATGCATTAGATGTCAAAGTTAACATAAGCAATTGCAAATTACAGAGGCAAAATAAAGACATTCTGTCATTTCGGTACATGTAGTTGAGAAAGCAAGAAAGAAAAAGAGCTCATATATCAACAGTATCGCTGTTGTATAGTTATTGAACTTTTATAAGTAGGAGTCCCCAAGTAATTACTCAGTGCTGAAGGTTGGGACTTATTACATGAAGTATCCATCAAAGCCAAGATGATGAAGAATAAGCAGTTCTGTGTGATTAATAGGTACAGGAGGACAAAAAAAGGAGATTAAGAAAGCCAGTGGGTTTTAGTGATAAAGTAAACCTCAATTCTCAACAAGGCAAAAAATACTCATTCAACCAGCAAGCCATTAAGCTCCCTAGAAAAATACTTATATGCCCCAGGTGAAGGCCTAATATGAGCTTGTCTATGATGGGTACAATTAGGAAATTCATTCATGTAGTTCAATGAGAAATTGTTTCTTGAATTAAAATTCATTGTTAAAAGGGACCAAATTAAGACAGTCTTATAATCAAGATATAGAATGTTATTTCATTTAGTAAATTCAATTGAGAAATTATACTAAAACTGCTATAGGTACAATTAACAAAGAAGCATGTAAAAATGCTATTTCAAGAACCTGTGTGTAATTTTTCCTGCTTATGAATTCCTTCCCTGTGCGCTGCGTATAAGCTATATCTGATGGACTGCCTTAAGGTAGCCAAGTTGAGCAAGTAAAAATACAGAGCAGCCAGTTAAATTTGAATTTCACATGTACACAACTAATATTTTTAGAATGTCTGAAATTTGTTTATTGTGTATCTGAAATTTAAAATGTAGTTGAGTTACCTGTATTTTGTCTGGCAACGTGTTTATGTATTTCTCTGTGTATTCAGTTTTCTTATTACAAGTACTGTTCTTAACAAAAGAACAGATAACATTTATACAGATGGCATCCTTAGAATTACAGAATTTTAGAGCAAAAAGGGACTTAGATATAATGTAGCTGGATAATTTGTTCTATACTTAAGGAAACTTAGATTCAAACAGATTAAAAGACTTGTCAAGATCCCACAAATAGCTAATATCCAGAGATGGAACTGGCATAGGTTTCCCGGATCCCAGTTCTTTCCTTTTCTAGTGTGTGTTGTCTGTCTTAAAACTGAACTGCCAGTTGGTTTTTCATGACAAATATGGACCAGGCTGATCATTTAGACAGATGTACCTATTTACAAATCATTTTGCTTTTCACTTACAAAATCGAAGTGAAAACACAAACACACATGCGAGCATGCACACACAGGAGCCAAAAGGAGAGTTTTAAGGCAATAGGCTGTATATCAAGAACTTTGTAGTCTGGGGCTTCCCAGTTCCCATCCCACCTTTAGGTATTAGTGTCCAAAACTTCTTTCAGGGAATGATCTTTATTCATTGAATATAGTCTATAGTCTTATGAGGCTGTTGATTCAGGTATGCTTCCTAGCCAGAGTGGGCATATGACCAAGCCACGTCAGTTGACAGTTTTTATTTTTTAGCTTTCTTCTAACCTCCAATTTGAATCTTAAGGCAAGCGACAAAAGGTATGCTCCTCCACCTGCTTCAATCCTGAGAGCAAGATGATTTCAGGTCACTTATTGCAACGGAATTGACTGGGCAAGACAATGGAGCAGTTCATACTTCCAAGACACTTTGGAACTAACTGTTTCCTTCTATGTGAAAACTGTTTCTTCAGCTCCCTCATATTCTCCCAATAAATTACTTAAAGAAGCGGAGTTGTTTTCTATTGCTCACTATCAGACACCTGTGATTGACACACAATATTTATATATTTCAAAAAGAAATTGAATGCTAATGCTGGCATAGGAAAAACCTTCAATATCATAGGTAATCCATTAACAGAAGAATCCAAGAGAAAGAGTATTGAGGCACTAGGAATTTAATATATATAACTTCCACTCGTGTGGGTGTAAAAGTGGTTTGAAAAACATTTATAGAATTAAATATGAAATTCAAACTGTTATATAGATTATGGTTAATAAACTTCCAAAGACTTAAATATAAAAACTAAAATGATGAAACTTCCAGAAAAATCATGAGAGAAAATTGTTTTTAACCTTGAGTTAGGCAAGGATTTTTTTGAAAGGCACAAAATGCATGAACCATAGGAAAAAAAGATTGATAAATTGAATCTCATTCATATTACAAACTTTTGCTCTTTAAAAGAAACTGTGCTGGGAAAACTGGCTAGCCATGTGCAGAAAACTGAAACTGGACCCCTTCCTTACACCTTATACAAAAATTAACTCAAGATGGATTAAAGACTTAAATATAAGACCCAAAACCATAAAAACCCTAGAAGAAAACTTAGTCAATATGATTCAGGACATAGGCATGGGCAAAGACTTCATAACTAAAACACCAAAAGCAATGGCAACACAAACCAAAATTGACAAATGAGATCTAATCAAACTAAAGAGCTTCTGCACAGGAAAAGAAACTATCATCAGAGTGAACAGGAAACCTGCAGAATGGGAGAAAATATTTGCAAGCCACCCATATGACAAAGGTCTAATATCCAGAATCTACAAGGAACTTAAACAAATTTACAAGACAAAAACAACCCCATCACAAAGTGTGTGAAGGATATGAACAGACACTTCTCAAAAGAAGACACTTATGCGGCCAACAAACATATGAAAAAAAGCTCATCATCACTGGTCATTAGAGAAATGCAAATCAAAACCACAATGAGATACCATCTCATGCCAGTTAGAATGGTGATCATTAAAACGTCTGAAAACAACAGATGCTGGCAAGAATGGGAGAAATAGGACTGCTTTTAACTGTTGGTGGGAGTGTAAATTAGTTCAACCATTCTGGAAGACAGTGTGGATTCTTCAAGGATCTAGAACCTCAAAGATCTAGAACCAGAAATACCATTTGACCCAGCAATCCTATTACTGGGTGTATACCTAAAGGATCATAAATCATTCTACTATAAAGACACATGCAGCACTATTACAATATCAAAGACTTGGAACCAACCCAAATGACCATCAATGATAGACTGGATAAAGAAAATGTGGCACATATATACCATGGAATACTATGCAGCCATAAAAAATAAGTTCATGTCCTTTGCAAGGACATGGATGAAGCTGGAAGCCATCATCCTCAGCAAACTAACACAGGAACAGAAAACCAAACACCGCATGTTTTCACTCATAAGTGGGAGTTGAACAATGAGAACACTTGGACACAGAGAGGGGAACATCACATACTGGGGCCTGTCAGGGGGTTGGGAGGAAGGGGAGGGAGAGCATTAGGACAAATACCTAATGCATGCAGGGCTTAAAACCTAGATGACGGGTTGATAGGTGCAGCAAACCACCATGGCACATGTATACCTATGAAACAAACCTGCATGTTCTGCACATGTATCCAAGAATTTAAAGTACAATAAAAAAATTAATGAATTTTAAAAAAGAAAATGAAAAGATAAGCTACTGGCTTAGAGAAAAGCTTTAAAAGCTTTTCAAAGAATGTCTGATAAGACGCTTATATCCAGAAGTCTCAGATATATATATATATACGCATATATAAACACACATATATATACGCATATATATACACACATATGTATACATATGTGGATACAAGCCTCTTATCAGACATATTATTTCATATATATATGAAATAGTCATCCTCTCAAAACTCAATAATTAAAAAATTCAGTAATAAATGACTCAAAATTTGAAAAACCACTTTACTACAAAAGACACACAGATGGCAAATAAGCACATGAAAAGATGTTCAACATCACTAATCATTAGGGAAATACAAATTTAAACACAATTAAAAGAATCTCACAGTCAAGAGGAACCTAAGGATTCATGACAACTGAATTTAATGTGGTATTCCAGATGGGATCCTAGAACAGAAAAAGAATATGTGGAAAAAAACTAAGTAAATCTAAACAAAATATGGACTTTAGTTAATGGTTATATATTAATATTGACTCATTGATTGTAAGAAATTTACCATACCTAATGCAAGATGTTAATAATAGGAGAAACTGGACATGTGGAAAATCTCTGTATCATTTTATCAATTTTTCTGTAATAGTTTTCTGTAAAAGCTACTCTAAAAAAGGAATGAAATACACACACATATTCCTATTAGAATGTCTAAAACTGAGAAGACTGACTATATAAAATGTTGATGAGGATGTAGTGGAATTAGCACTCTCATATACTGCTGTCACAGATGTGGAATAGTACAATAACTCTGTAAAACAGTGATTTTAAAATACATAGCCAGAATATATTAAAAAAACAGAAACTCTTACAATTCAGTAATAAGAAAACAAACAATCCCTTATAAATAAGTAGAAAATTTGAACACACACTTTACCGAAGAAGGTATATAAATGCCAATAAGCTCATGAAAAGATACTCAACATCATTACTTATTAGGAAAATACAAATTAAAACCATAACATTACCACCACTTTGCTTAAATGGCTAAAA
This sequence comes from Homo sapiens, assembly GCF_000001405.40. Taxonomy (NCBI): domain Eukaryota; kingdom Metazoa; phylum Chordata; class Mammalia; order Primates; family Hominidae; genus Homo; species Homo sapiens. The sequence continues at coordinate 113,992,680 of NC_000005.10, read as the reverse complement.
TTAAAGACTGATAATACAAATTAATGGAGAGGGAGCAGAGGAATTGGAACTCTCATACATTCATTGTTGATGGAAATGCAAAATGGTATATTAGTATAACCCATTTTGAAAGCAGTTTTGTAGATTCCCATGAAGTTAAATATGCCTTTACCATATGATTCAGCAATTCTTTGTCTAGTCATTTATTCAACAGAAATGAAAACCTATGTTCATAAAAAATGCAAAAATGTGTATGTGAATGTTTATAGCGGCTTTATTATAAAACAAAGCAGAACCTGGAAACAACCCAAATGTCTGGTATACTCATACGGTGGAACATTACAAAGCAAAAAGGAAGGAGCTACTGATACATGCATAATATGAATAAATTTCAAAACCATTTTGCTAACAGAAAGAAGTTGACCAATAAAAGCTATATATTATATAGTTTGCTTATATGACATTCTGGAAAAAGCAAAACCATAGGAATAGAAATAAAATCCATTGGTAATGAATGGTTATCAATTTTTCACAGAAGTTAAAAAAAAAAAACTCATGTGGAACAACCAAAGACCCTGAACAGCCAAAGTGATCTTGAGCAAAAAGAGCAAAGCTGGAGGCACATAGTATCTGATTTCAAAATATACTACAAATCTATAGTAATCAAAATAGAATGGCACTGGTGTGAAAACAGACTCATCAACGAATGGAACAGGATTGAAATTCTAGAAATAAGTCTTCATTTTATGGTCAATTGATCTTCAACAAAGGTGCCAAGAGCACACAATGTGGAAAAGATAGTCTTTTCAATAAATGGTGTTGAAAAAACTGGATATCTTCCTGCTGAAGGATGAAATTTGACCCTTATCCCACACCATCTGCAAAAATTAAGTTACAATAGATTAAAAACTTAAGTGTAAGCTCTGAAATTGTAAAACTACTAGAAGAAACCGTAGAGGGAAATCTTGACATTGGTCAGGCTATTATTTTATTTTATTTTTGAGACACAGTCTTGCTCTATCGCCCAGGCTGGAGTGCGGTGATGCAATCTCGGCTCACTGCAACTGCTGCCTCCTGGGTTCAAGCAATTCTCCTGCCTAAGCCTCCCAAGTAGCTGAAACTACAGGTGCATGCCACCACACCTAGCTAATTTTTGTATTTTTAATAGAGATAGGGTTTCGTCATGTTGGCCAGGCTTTTCTCAAATGCCTGACCTCAAGTGATCCACCTGTCTCAGCCTCCCAAAGTGCTGGGATTACAGGCATGAGCTACCACGCCTGCCCAATTATTTTAAATATGACTTCAAAATCACAGGCAACAAAAGCAAAAATAGACAAATGGGATTGCATCAAACTAAAAAGCTTCTATACAGCAAAGGAAACAAACAGAGTGAAGAGATGATCTACATAATGGGAGAAAATATTTGCAAACCATACTTCTCATAACAGGTTAATATCTACAATATGTAAGGAGCTGAAATAACTCAACAGCAAGAAAATAAATAAGTTGGAAAATGGTCAACGGACATGAATAAACATTTCCTCAAAAGAAGATATAGAAGTAGCCAAAGGATATATAAAAAATTATCAATATCAGTAATCAGGGAAATACAAATCAAAACCATAATGAGGTAGCACCTAATTACTGTTAGAATGGTTGCATACAAAAGACAAATGATGGCAAGTGCTGGCGAGGATGTGGAGAAAAGGGAAACTTTGTATGATTTTGGTGGGAAAGTAAATTGGTACAGCCATCATGGAAAACAGTACAGTGGCTCCTCAAAAATTTTAAAACAGAACTGCCATATCATTCAGCAATCCTACTTCTGGGCATATATTCAAAAGAAATGAAATAAATATGTTGAAGAGATATCTCCACTCCTATATTCATTATCCACAATAGCCAAGATACAGAATTAGCTTAGCGGCCACTGGTGGGCGAAAGGATAAAGAACATGTGGTGTATATAAACAATGGATTACCAGTCAGCCTTCAAAAGAAGGAAATCTTATGATTTGTGACAACATGGATGAATCTAGAGGACGTTATTCTAAGTGAAATAAGACAGATACTGCATGGTCTCACTTATATGTGGAATCTAAAAAAGTAGAACTCACAGAAGCAGAGAAGAGAATGGAAGTCACCAGGGGCAGAGGGTAGCAGAGGCTGGAGGAGAATGGAGAGATGTTGGTTAAAAGGTATAAAGTTTCAGTAAGACAAGATGAATAAGTTATGGAGATCTGTTGTACAGCATGGTAACTATAGTTAACAAGAATGTATTGTATACTTGAAAATTGCTAAAAGTAGATCTTACATGTTCTCACCAGAAAAAAATGGTACGGTAACTGATATGTTAATTAGCTTTATTTAATCATTTCAACATGTATACATATATATCAAAACATCATGTTGTACACTATATATATGGTGTACAATTTTTTATATATATATATATGTAATATCTGTCAGTTATACATTTGTAAGCCTGGGGAAAAAAAATCCACTTTTATAATAAACCAATATGGAAATGTAAAAAAAGAAATTGATGGTTGTCAGGGTCTGAAGGCTGAGGAGAAGGACTGTAAAGGAGCATGAGTCACTTTTTGTGGTAATGCAAATATGTATCTTGAATTTAGTGGTGGTTACACATTTGACACAAGTCACCCAATTATCCACATAAAAAGGGTGATTTTTATTGTATGTAAAGAATATCTCCAAACACTTAAGAAAAGTTGAGGCAAACCTTGGAAAGAAAAGGAACACAGTTCCAGGAGAGCTATTCCAAGGAGTTTGACATATGCTAGTGAAAAGGTAAAGGCTTTCCCAGTATATTAAAACTGAAGACCTCTGAAAAATTAAAAGAGATTTACGTGGTAAAGGAGGGGAGTGAAGTTATATGCATAGAGTATACCAAACAAAAGAGCAGCTCACACAAAGGATTGGCAGTAGCAAGAAATACAGTGCGCGCCGATCTGGGAAAATGAAAGTAAGCTGCGATGGCAGGATATAGAAAGCAATGCTAGAGGCATAGAGAATAGATAGGGATCAAATTTCACAGGGTCATTTTAACAATTAGGAGTAAGTTCAGCTTCATAGAAAAATAGAAAAACCAAATAATGGGGGCTTAAAGATAAACAGGTTAATATGTGTTTCCCGACATAAAGAAGTCTGAAGAGAGGCACTCTGGGGAGACTTAAGTCACAAGGGATCCAGACTTTGCTTATTTTCTCTAACATATTATTGTATGGCTTCTATTCTGAAGGCCTCCTCATAGTCACAACAATGCTACTGCAGCTCTAACATCACATACTCATTCCAGACAACAGAAAAGAGAAAAGAGTGAGAGCAAAATTATGTGCCTCACAGTCAATTAAGCCTCTTTATGAAAAAAAAAAAAAAAACCCAAAACCAAATAGAGATATGGTCTCACCCCACTGCCCAGGCTGGAGCACAGTGGTGTAATAATAACTTACTGCAGTCTTGAACTCCTGGGCTCAAAGCAACTCCCCCACCTCAACCTCCTGAGTTAACTGGGATTACAGGCATGAGCCACCACACCCAGCCTAATTAAACCTCTTTAAAAGTGCTCTCTCCAAGTCCCATTCAACAATCCCAACTTTCTCTCATCGGCCACTCCTATCTGCAAGTGAGTTATACTGCCACATCCAATACTACAGATTCTTTCAGTAATGGAAAAGGAAACTATGGATTTTAACTGGACAGCTACCAGTCTTGGCCTTAGCCACATAAGCCAGGTAAAGAACTTTGGTTCACTGTAGAAACACTGGAGAGTCATTGAAGGTTTCTAAGCAGGGCTTATGGAGCATGGTGAAACATGATCAGATTTGGAGCTTGAAAATATTACTCAGGCTGCAATCTGGCCAACACCTTCAAAAAGGGACATGTTTGGTACAAGGAGATCAGTAGGAGTGCTCTCAATATTTCCAGTGAAAGATGACTAAGAATTCTGGCACTGAAGGTGGAGAGAAGTACATGTAATCAAGATATTATGGAGAAAAACAATCAAAAGATCACAGTGATGTTTTGATACTGATAGATTAGGGAAAAAGGAGGTATAAAAGATGGAGTACAGGTTTTCAGCTTACCAAGATGAATGGACAGTGGTAACATCTCCTAAGGCAGGAACCCCAGGTCTGGAGAAGATCATGAGTTTGTCTGTGGATGTGATGAATATGAGAGTCCCTAAGGTGCTACAAATATAAGACAGGTAAGGCAATTGGAGAGTTGGAGAAGTTAAGCCATATGAAATTACTAATATTCAACCACTTGATTTGTATAGTTGGATTAAATAAATATGTAGAGCTACTGTCCACCCAAAATGATATGAGTGCCTTTATAAAAAAGCAAGCATTGAATATTCCTTAAGCAAAATTATGCCTGTAATCATACTGCATACTATAGTCATAAAGAATATATAAGTTTCAAGGTTGCATGTTATGAATTCTTCTTTATGCATGATGTGTTTTTGACAGTAGTTATTATTTTTTCTCAAAACAAATTAAAGTAATTAGGATCCATCATAGTGGTTGATATAAATAACTAAAGAAATTTGGAAAAGAAGTAATTCATTTTTGGAGATTTGCCAGTAAATAAATTCTTCAAGTATGACACATTGTTGCTCCTCTGAGATCAGTTAACTGCCTTCTACAAGTCAATCACCAGCTTCCATAAATTCTAATAATCTATCAAATTCTTTCTGTTGTAATATCATTTTGTTCAAAATTTTACCAATTACCATTCAGCTGTAGGTATGAAAACTGAAAGTATTCTTACTATTCACCAATCACAGAACAAGAATAGGTTTCAACAGGCTATTAACAAATGGGAAAAACAAAGATAAAAGTCAAAGTATGACTCTATTAGACCAGATGCATGAAGTTTGATCTACAAACATATTTATTATATTGTCTAGGATGGGGAAAATATTGCAAGTCACATTTGGTAAATAAGATTCATTTCAAATTGTAATATTTTCTCTTTCTCTGCTGCAACTATAATGCTTCAGATAGTTGCATTTTCATGGCCAAAACTATCCAAAGATGCCAACATATAAAATCAAATAATTTGTTCTTAGTGTGACCAGTAACTTCTATTTGAGTCTTATTTGATACAAATTATATAATACATTAATATAAACTATCATACTACATCAAAGAAAACTTGAATTTCTTTGAGAAGTTCTCCATAATTCTATAATTAACAAATAGAATGATCAAACCAAAAAGATAATAATACACATTAGTAATATGTATGTAAGTCTTCTGCCATTATGTTAAGCAACACACACATTGAATAGGAAAAGACTAGCAATCTGGAAATCTGGATTCTTTCACTGCCCAGACTGACTATTCATTGATCAGTCTTTTAAATTCCCAATAAAAATGAAATGAACAGATTAGTTAATATTTAAATTTCTTTCCATTTCAAAAATTCTGACACCTTGAAAGTTTACAAAAATAGGAAAAGATTAACTTGGGATTATTGTATTAGTACCACTGTTCAATAACTTTTCCACCAAAGTAACTCCAATGGCAAAGACTTCAGTCACTACTCCATGGGCTTCACCGTGGTATAGCCTGAAGTGACAAGTTTTATTTTTATTTCTAGATTTATTTTTAATCTATTTTCCATTACATTCCATAATATATTTGTGTAAGATTTATTGTAACAATAATATGTTTTGTAAACCTCTATGCACAATTAGCACTCTGGGATTATCCATTATGTTTATTGAATGACATTGAATATACACTGTAGACCCTCCTATACTCCAAAGCCCAGTTTGAGAAATGTATACAAGTAGCAGAGAAAAGAAGTCTATGCCAGTGTTGAAAACTCAAACGCTATAAAACCCCAGGCAAAAACACAAATGAGTAGCATAGGGTGGTGCTGCAGTAGGCTGTGGAGGGGACTATAGCAATCTTTGGATGACCTAAAGGAATAGTCATTACTCAACTCCAACCCAACGGTTGCTCAGTATGGCCAAATATTCTGATTCTTCAGGGAAGACAAAATGATGAATTTTATATGAAATTTTCAGGTTTTTTTTTTGTTTTTTTTTTTTTGAGACGGAGTCTCGCTCTGTGGCCCAGGCTGGAGTGCAGTGATGCGATCTCTGCTCACTGCAAGCTCCGCCTCCTAGGTTCACGCCATTCTCCTGCCTCAGCCTCCCGATTAGCTGCAACTACGGGTGCCCACCACCACATCGGGGTAATTTTTTGTATTTTTCATAGAGACAGGGTTTCACCGTTTTAGCCAGGATGGTCTCGATCTCCTGACCTCGTGATCTGCCCGCCTCGGCCTCCCAAAGTGCTGGAATTACAGGCGTGAGCCACAACGCCCGGATCCAAAATTTCACCTGTTTTTAAAACACCATGCATACAAAATAAAACAGGTCAGCTGGCCAGATTCAGCCTAAAGCCTTCTGGTTTGGGGTCCTTGGTTCTAAAGCCTGCTCCAGGAAATTAGTTCAATTATACAGGAGAGAGAGCATCTCCATAGAGGACCGAGTAGAAAAACATTTTCAAAGTCAGAGTGAAGGCTGTGGAGTTCTGAGGGCAACAGTAGAATTTTCTTCCTTTCAGCTAGATCATTAAAAGCAGAAAAGACATCAATTTTTTACAATCATTATGGGCAGCTTAGCCTGGAGGCAGAAAGCTGAATCAGACGGGCTTGACTTTTAGGATGATGGGAAAGTCATGCGTTTTTATGTTAGCATTTAACCTTGGAATAATGACAACATACTTGAAAACCAGGTCAAAGAGCTATGGCAAATAAATGAAATACATTTAAAAGCTACATGAGTAAATGCCAAGCTGTGGTCCATATAGCAATCTATGATATTGTGGCTTCAACTTTTTCCACTCACAGGAGAAAGCGAAAAAGGAGCAGCTGCTGACATTCAGAAACTGATGTGGGTGGCACCGACAGCTGGATAATGTTATTCTTTTCCCGAACATTAACAGTCTCACAGAGTACCAACCTCAAACAAGGTTACTCTGATATCATGGGTAGAATGAGACAATATGGAGCAACTACATAATTTTTTCTAAGCCAATATAAAAGCAAAGTCACTGTGCCACTCACAAAATACCAAGCACTCTCTTTCGGCTAAAATGAATGATGGCTACTTCTTTACCAGTTAGAGCTTTAGCCTTGCTCTAGTCTCCCCTCTTTATAAATAAGATCTATTGAGAATTGACCCTGCTTTCTGACGGCCAATTTAGAGAAAAGCTCACCTTTCTTAAACCCTTCCCCAAGTCACCCAACTAAAGATCAAATCTTGTAACAGGTTCTCACTAACATTCTGTCACTGAGACATCTCATATCTCTCCATGGTGTCTGTTCTTCCTTGTTACAATGATCAATAAATCCAACATGTTTTACCACAGAGGTGTCCCTGCTGTTCTTTTCCTGAAGGTCATCCACATGTGTGAACAATCAGAATAGTTTACCACACAATCAATCCATTTAGGGCAAAAGGTGATGACCTTGAGGGTGGCTGGCATGACTATGCCCAGCGGAAAGCACTTTCCCTGACACGTACAGTTGGGGCTTACCTCATTCTATTTCTGCTCCTTGCATGTTGCTTGATTAGGCAATTTTTCTGTCCTTGATAAATGCAGAGGTTTTGCAGGGCTTTCTGAGATTCATTATTCAGACAGCAGATAACCAGTGTTTACACATTTACTCTGTGTGACCTTACTCAAAAACCAATGAAGTACAAACAATCCTCTTAAAAGATCAAATTGAGAGTAAAAATTGTATTGTAGCATAAATAAATACACTTCAAGGAAGGCAAGGCTTGCATTCTCTCTCAGTTGTATAAAAGACAAGCAATTAAATTCCAAAATGCTATTAAGCATGGCATTTAACAGGAAAATATATTTTGTTTGTGTGGCTTCAGAAGAATATAAATGTAGTCATGTGTAGAACAGGATGTAATCTGGCAAATTTGTAGACACAAGGGAAACGTTATATTCAGTTTAGGTAAATAAGTGTCAAAACAGTAAAATGTAAAACCGGGACAGCCAACATTGTTAGATGTCTGCGGCTTTTTCTTGACATTAGTTCTGTTACCAACACAGAAAAAGCTATACAGACATTTACTTCTACTCTATAATAACAGAATTGTTAAACTTTTATTATGGACTTAAAAACAAATAAGAAAATAAAACAAAAAACAAAGGCCCATATATATGTCCTGTAGACATAATATATGCAACTAATATATACACATAACGATATCCAAACAAAATACAAAACTACAAAATAAAACATCTACCCTTCCCTCGTTTCCAAACTGTTTCCCCAATATAACCATTGTTAATAATATTTTATGTATCCTTTGAAAAAATTAAAAATGCTTTATTGAGCTATGACTACACACTCAGAATGGCTTAAAAATGTTAGTGTAATTCAAAATGCTGGTGACAATGCAGAGAAACTGGAATTATTATTATTATAATTTTTTTTTGAGATAGAGTCTCACTCTGTCACCCAGGCTGGAATGCAGTGGCATGATTTCAGCTCACCAAAACCTCTGCCTCCCAGGCTCAAGCGATTCTCCTGCCTCAGCCTCCTGAGTAGCTGGGATTACAGGCACCCACCACCATGCCTGGCTAATTTTTGTATTTTTAGTAGAAATGGGGTTTCACCATGTCAGCCAGGCTGGTCTTGAACTCCTGACCTCAAATGATCTACTCACCTCAGCCTTCCAACATGCTGGGATTATAGGCGTGAGCCACTGGAATTCTTATACATTGTAGAATGTAAAATGGTACAGCCACTCTGGAAAACTGTTTGACCATTTCTTACAAAATGAAAGATGTACTTACTATATGACCCAGCAATAACAACCTTGGGCATTTACCCCAGAGAAGTGAAAACTTACACACACATACACACACACAGACACACACCTGTACATAAAGATTCATAGCAGCTTTATTCACAATAGCAAAAACTAGAAATAATCCAAATGTCCTTGGATAAATGGTTAAACAAATTCTGGTACATCCATAAAATGGAACACTGCTCAGCAATAAAAAGAAACAAACTATATGTGCAGCAAACTGAATGGTATTCAAGTGCATCATGCTTAATGAAAACAACCGGTCTCAAAAAGTTGCATACTATATGATTCCATTCATATAATATTCTCAAAATGACAAAATTACAGAGGCTAAGAACATATTAGTTGTTGTCAGGGTGGATGGGTGGAGTATAAAAAAATGACATGAAGAGTTCCTTGTAGTGAAGGAGCAGTTCTGTATCTTGATTATGGTAGTGGCTACACAAACCTGTACATGACGTAAAGTTGTATAAAATTACACACACACACACACACGCACACACTCACAGAGGAATGTATAAAAAATCATGAAAACTGAATGAGATATGTAGTTTAGTTATCAGTATTGCACCAAAGTCAATTTTGTGATTTCAATATTGTACTACCGTTATACAAGATAATCATTGTTGGGTGAAGAGCACACAGGACTCTCTGTGCTATTTTTTCAACTTCCTGGAGTCCATAATTATTTAAAAATAAAAAGTTTTTTAAATGTTACATATATAACAGCTGTGAAAATTAGTATGCTCTTGGCTACCAGGAGCAGAAGATTCCAATTAAATTGCCTTAAAAAATACAGATAACTGTCTCCTATAACAAGAAACCAGAAAATATCATAGGTCAAAGACTAATTAATTAAGTGTTCAACAACATCATCAAAGATTCTGGATTTTTCTGTGTTTGTACTCTGTCATCATTGGCACATAAGCTTGGCCCTTAAGCTAGTTTTTATCATGGCCCCTAAATTACTATCAAAATTAGTTTTATCATTGATGAAAGAAATTCAAGAGTACACAAACAAATGGGAAGACATCTTATATTCATGAATTAATATTGTTAAAATAACCATACTGCCCAAAGCAATTTACAGATTCAATGAAATCTGTATTAAAATACCAATGTCCTTTTTCACAGAAATAGAAAAACAATACTAAAGTTCACATAGAACCAAAAAAAGTCAGAATAACTAACGCAATCTTGACCAAAAAAACAAAGCTAGAGGCATGAAAGTGCCTGGCTTTAAAATATGTTACTGGGCTATATAACCAAAACAGCATTGGTATTGGTATTCTGTCCAATGGAAAAGAATAGAGAACCCAAAAATAAATCAACATATTTACAACCAACTTATTTTCTACAAAAGTGCCTAGAACATCCACTAGAGAAAGGACATCCTCTTCAATAAATGGTGCTGGGAAAATTAGATAGCAATATGCATAAGAGTGAAACTAGACCGTCGTCTCTCACCATATAGAAAAATGAATTCAAGCTGGATTAAAGATTTAAATGTAAAACTCAAAACTATAAAACTACTAAAAGCAAACAGAGAAAACACTTCAGAACATTGGTCTAGGCAAAGATTTTATGGCTAATACCTCAAAAGCACAGACAACTAAAACAAAAATCGACAAATGGGAATATATTAAACTAAAAGGCTTCTGCACAGCAAAGGAAACAAAAGAGTGAAGAGACAATCTGTTAAATAGGAGAAAACATTTGCAAACTATTCATCTGACAAGGAACTAATATCCAGAATATACAAGGAATTCAAAGAACTCAACAATAAAACAAAATAAAACAATGAAAAAAAACCCCCACAAATAATCCCAATAAAAGGTGGGCAAAGGACATGGACAGACAGTTCTCAAAAGAAGACGTGCAAATGGGCAGCAGGTAAATGAAAAAATGCTCAACATCACTCATAATCTGGTAAATGCAAATCAAAACCACAATGATACATCATCTTACCCCAGTTAGAATGGCTATTACTAAAGAGACAAAAAATAACAGACACTAGTGAGGATGTGGAAAAAAGGGAACTCTTATACATTGTTGATGGGAATGCAAATACAGCCACTATGGAAAATAATATAAAGATTTCTCAAAAATATAAAAACAGAACTAACATATGATCCAGCAATCCCACTACTGGGTATCTATCCTAAAGAAAATAAATGAGTATATCCAAGAGATAACTGCACTAGTGCATTTATTGCAACACTATTCACAAGTAACTAGAAGAGAAGACTTGAATTTTTCCCAATACATAAAATGACAAATGCCCAAAGTGATGAACACCCCAAATACCCAGACTTGGTGACTACATTACACATTCTGTGTAAGTAACAAAATATCCCACGTACTCCACAAATATATAACATATTATTTATCAATAGTAATAGTGTTAACATATCCAGTGGTAGAGGCCATTCCTTGTTATTATCTCTTTTAATCAAAGAGGCAAATATTTACTAGGATCCCACCTCCTAACTTTCTCTCATGTCTTATTGTCAGTGTCATATCCCTACTCCTAACCCAAGTGTTGGGCTAGTGGGTGGGAAGGTATGCACGAGTGGAACCACCATGACTGATGTAGCCCAATCATGATCTACCCCAGGGGATTCAAAAGAAGATAAATATCTACCACCAAGAGTTAAATAAGTTAATGCACATGCACATGAGGATATACCACAGCGACATTCAAAAATGAACTAGATATTTGTGGGCTGATATGAAAATTTTTCAAAAATCTAATATGAAGTGTAAAACAAGATATAGAAGTACATACATAACATGATACCTATTGGGTGCATTTTGTAAAAGGGTAGCAAACAATGTTGGTATACTCTAATTCCTTGCTTTTTAACAATTTTGTTCTAATTTTATTCTGGAAAATACACTATTATATTTAATAAATAGGGCAACTTCTCATACCTTCACTAGTACCAAATCTCCTCACTTTTGCTAATTTAATACACTAAAACTGGCACGACATTATTGTTTGGGCTTATATATTTTTAATTAAGAGTGAGATAATATTTATTTTCATATTCTTTTGAACATTTGACTTTGTTTACTTTAACATTTTCAATCAAGTTTTTTCTCATTGAATTATATGAATTTTAATAAGCCTAAGAAACTTAGCTTTTTATGTCATAAATATTGCAAATCATTTACCTCTTCTATATTTAGTTTTACTTTGTTGAAGATACCATTGGCTATTCTGAAGTTCCTAGTTTTTATACAACTAAATTTATCAAAGTTTTTCCTTTCTTGGTTTTGTAATCTGTTTTTGAGGGTTTCCCTTATATGGTTATAAAGAAATATCCAGGCTATCTTGTAAAATAGCACTGATCAATAGACCTTTCTGCAGTGATAGAAATATTCTATATCTGCACTATCCAATTGGTAGCCACTAGTCCTAAGGGGTTATTGAGCACTGGAAATGTAGTTGGTAAAACTGAGGAAATGAATTTCCAGTTTTATTTAATTTTAATTAATTTGTATGTAAATAGCTTCTTGGGGCTAGTTACTACCATATTGAGCAGTGCAATTCTAAAATCTTTATGGTTTCATTTTTCAAGATATCTAAATGCTTGAGTCTTCAGGAATTTATTTGAATAAAAGGAATAATTTATCAGAATTCAAATAAGAAATTTTTGTGTTACCTTTGGAACACACAGACCACCTCGAGATTCAAATGAAAATTGTAAAACCTACCTCCAGAAAAATGACCATATTGAGAACAGACAGAATTTTGAAGCTTATATCCTGTTGGCATGAAATAAACAATAAACAAGTAAATAATAAAACAAGATAATTTCTGATGATAATAAGGGTCAAGAAAGAAATGAGACAGAGTTCTGAGACAGAGATTGACTGTGGGGACGGAAGGTGGGAGACTTTAGAGAGGACAGAGACCACTCTAGGAAGAGGACATTTGAGCTGAAAGCTTAAAGATAAGCAAGAGCCAGCACTGTGGACAGCTGGATAAAGAGCATTTCAACAAGAGCAAGGACTTAGAAGCAGGAATAAATTTTACTCTTTGGAGGGCAGAAAAGATGTCTGGTGAGGGTACAGGCCCGTGCGTGAGGAAAAAGTAAGATGAGATGAGGTTAGAGCACACAGGGGCCACATTGCATTGCTTACAAATTGTGAAACTACAACTCAGATAAGTTAAACAAGCAAGCCAAGTTCAAACATGATTGGAAGTGGCAGAGGCACGCCTGCTCTCAACCATTAAAGTGCCTGTCCTATGGTGTCCTGATTCCACAGGACAGTATGATTAGCTCAGCAAGACCCTAACCAGTTCCCCATCAAATTTTAGAGAGTGTTAATAAAGAAGGATATGAAAATGTTAAGATATTAAGATTCATTAATCCAGCCAAAAATATTTATTGAGGGCTAAGTATGTACAAGGCATTGAATAAATTCTGTGGTATATTCAAAGAGGTGGTGCCCAGATATAATGAAAAGAATACCAAATTGACAGTGTGCTTAGGTGCTTAACCTTTCTTTCCTTCATCTTTTAATACCAGTAGCAGCCCCCCACAGTGGGATATGTCCATGTAGAAGGTTTTGCCCAACATCTGGCACACAGTTAAATGCTCAGTAAATCTTAGTTCCAAAACATATTAAAAATTAAAAGACTTGATTCAAGCTTTGACCTTGATGGTTACTTACTGGACGACCCTGGGCAAGTATTTTCTCATGTGCAAATTTTTAAAAAAAAAGTAGGAAGAATCAATATCGTGAAAATGGCCATACTGCCCAAGGTAATTTATAGATTCAATGCCATCCCCATCAAGCTACCAATGACTTTCTTCACAGAATTGGAAAAAACTACTTTAAACTTCATATGGAACCAAAACAGAGCCCGCATCATCAAGTCAATCCTAAGCTAAAAGAACAAAGCTGGAGGCATCACGCTACCTGACTTCAAACTATACTACAAGGCTACAGTAACCAAAACAGCATGGTACTGGTACCAACACAGAGATATAGATCAATGGAACAGAACAGAGCCCTCAGAAATAATGCCGCATATCTACAACTATCTGATCTTTGACAAACCTGACAAAAACAAGAAATGAAGAAAGGATTCCCTATTTAATAAATGGTGCTGGGAAAACTGGCTAGCCATATGTAGAAAGCTGAAACTGGATCCCTTCCTTACACCTTATACAAAAATTAATTCAAGATGGATTAAAGACTTAAACGTTAGACCTAAAACCATAAAAACCCTAGAAGAAAACCTAGGTATTACCATTCAGGACATAGACATGGGCAAGGACTTCATATCTAAAACACCAAAAGCAATGGCAACAAAAGCCAAAATTGACAAATGGGATCTAATTAAACTAAAGAGCTTCTGCACAGCAAAAGAAACTACCATCAGAGTGAACAGGCAACCTACAAAATGAGAGAAAATTTTCGCAACCTACTCATCTGACAAAGGGCGAATATCCAGAATCTACAATGAACTCAAACAAATTTACAAGAAAAAAACAAACAACCCCATCAAAAAGTGGGCAAAGGACATGAACAGTCACTTCTCAAAAGAAGACATTTATGTAGCCAAAAAACACAAGAAAAAATGCTCATCATCACTGGCCATCAGAGAAATGCAAATCAAAACCACAATGAGATACCATCTCACACCAGTTAGAATGGCGATCATTAAAAAGTCAGAAAACAACAGGTGCTGGAGAGGATGTGGAGAAATAGGAACACTTTTACACTGTTGGTGGGACTGTAAACTCATTCAACCATTGTGGAAGTCAGTGTGGCGATTCCTCAGGGTTCTAGAACTTGAAATACCATTTGACCCAGCCATCCCATTACTGGGTATATACCCAAAGGATTATAAATCATGCTGCTATAAAGACACATGCGCACGTATGTTTATTGTGGCACTATTCACAATAGCAAAGACTTGGAACCAACCCAAATGTCCAACAATGATAGACTGGATTAAGAAAATGTGGCACATATACACCATGGAATACTATGCAGCCATAAAAAATGATGAGTTCATGTCCTTTGTAGGGACATGGATGAAATTGGAAATCATCATTCTCAGTAAACTACCGCAAGGACAAAAAACCAAACACCGCATATTCTCACTCATAGGTGGGAATTGAACAATGAGAACACATGGACACAGGAAGGGGAACATCACACACTGGGGCCTGTTGTGGGGTGGGGGGAGTGGGGAGGGATAGCATTAGGAGATATACCTAATGCTAAATGACGAGTCAATGGGTGCAGCACACCAGCATGGCACATGTATACATATGTAACTAACCTGCACATTGTGCACATGTACCCTAAAACTTAAAGTATAATAATAATAAAATAAGATAAAAATAAAAAATTTTAAAAAAACATAAAAAAAGTTTGCCTTTTTAATTAGCATGGTGGCTATGATTAAATAAACAATTTTAAATGCAAGCACTTTGTGAAACTTTCATGTGTTAGACAAAGGTAAGAATTGTTTATATCTTAATTAGAGTAAAATTTAGTCCCTGCCCTGAAGGAGCTGACAATGTGAAAGGCAATGTTTAACAGGACAGAAAATAAAAAGCTTTTGATCAAAAACATAAAGAAAGAGTATTAATTCTCCCAACAATTTATCTGGTGCTGATCTATAGGTTTGTCAAGCGTAATTATAGAAAGACAGAAACAATAGTCTACTATCTGTCCTAAAAGCAGAAACACATAGAAATGGTGTTATACTGAAAAAAATCCAGATTGGCTCAGAGGAAAAAAATTCTTTGTAGTGACGGTGATTTTGCCATTACATCAGGCTTGCACATTGAAGGTTTACTTTTTGTAAACCCACTCTGTTTCAAGTATATTGCTACGTGTTGTATCCAGAAAATAAGAAAGATCTCATCACTGTTCCTTAAATAGTTCGCTGAAAGGTCAAAGAAATGTTGTCATGTATTTTTTCTCTAGCATCTTTATATATGATATAGATGATTATCTCTTTAGGAAATTTAGAAATAAACCCATCACAAAATAAGAAAATAATAAATTACATAATTTCTAACCTTTTCTTAGAGAATTTTATTCTGTGGATCCTAAACTGACATTGGCAACCCTAGACCACTGAAAAAGATTCTTAGCTGAACTCATTATCTGTGGTATATTTCCCTTTGAATAGTCTTACTCAACTGTCAGAGTGATGTTTGAAAGCCTGAATCTGATTGTGCCCTCCCCACTTCAAATAACTCCACCTGCTATGATCCTTACTGTGGCCTCCTGTCTCACTTCTCTTGGCCCTGGTAATCTATCCATCCCAAACTACTGATATGCCCTCAAAGAAGCCCATGTATAACATACCATCCTGGCTCTGCTCTAACAGCTCCTTATGCCTGTAATGCCCTACTTGCCATTTATGCCTGATAAACAGCTGCTTATCTCAACTGCCACAGGACTTTCTGATTCTCTCCCTCCCTGAACCTCTATCTATCTGGCGGCCACTCCAGACACATTGACCCCTTCTCTTATATAGCTCACTATAGCCTGTGCATCCTGCTAAGGAGCTACTTATGACAACTGATGGTACCCCTCGGGTAATATTTTGTCAATTCCTACCAAATCTCAATTGTTTAATGTCATAGATCATATCTTACTGATTTTAGTATACCACATACATGTTTTGGAATGAGTTACTAACTTAATGAGCTAATATCTGTAGAAGGACACACTTCCCATTCTGTTCCCTATTATGAATCACAACAAGCTCAGCTGAAAACAGTAATAATGGTTCTATTTGTCCTGAACTGTGAATCTGAGATCTGATTGGTGTTTCAGGCATGCTACTGACTTCCTAACAGATTAAGATAATGCTCTTAAGTTCCCAATATTGTCTAATAATGTCCTATCTAATAAGGAGCCTAACTTTTTTTATCTTTCCCTTGAGTTCTCAGTTAATAGTCAATCAATTCTTTACTCATTACATCCTAGAAAGTCTAGTCTAAAACCCATGCAGACTTGATGCTTTACATTCAAGGTATGCTAAATATGTAGGGGCTTGGAAGACTTTCTACTGACCAAGATGATTTTCAAGCCATCATGTGAATATCTAACATCAAAAATGTCTCCATTTAAAGAGGAATTCAAATAGCTTTGTCTTGAATGAATCAGTGGCTTGGTATTATCCAGCTTTCATTTTCTATGCCATGGCTTGGTTAATTTAACATTGATTTAGCAAGCTGAGAAAATATAAATTGATTTTTAGGGAATGATATTTGATTATTTAGGTCTATATATGGCTTATTCCTATTAGTCATTATGGAGAGAAACCAGGAAACAGAATTTAAGGAATGTTATATTTAATAGAGAATCACTGATCATGTAATATGTGTGCACAAAGTGACATAGTTATCAAGGGACACATCAAGTGCTGTGGAACTTGAAAGTAATGTAATCAAGCATCACAGTCAAGGCCAACCTTAGAGATAAGAAAACAGAAAAAAAACTTTATTGTCAGTACTTAGATCCTTTCTTCCAATTTCTAGTCTGCTTGTAAGAGCACTATAACATTTCTGATAAACTATCTGGTTGGAAAGTGTAATATACCACTATGATAATATGGTCTAATTAAAGCACCCAACTTGGGAGGGCCACCCACAACTGGCATCTGGAGGAAGGCCACAGTGGATGCCAAAGGATCTGCAAACTGTGTTGTTGAGGTGGAATAGTTTATGCAACTGGCATGTTTTGCCAAGAACATAAAACACTCAACTTTTACTTCTAACATGGCCAGGTAGCACATATTGTACCTGATCTTTCTGTAGACAGCAACCGTAAGCTGTGGACAAAATGCAAAAACAACACAAAGCAAGCCAAAATGACCTACCTACAGTAGAATAAATGAAAAAGACAGAATCTGCAAGAGAGTCACTTGGAAGAAGGGAACAGCACAGTGTGAGTTATGCATATTTTAAGTTTTAGCATGAGGGCAGTTCACAGTCAGAACCATGTCTTTCTCCAATCATATTATTCTCATGCTCAAATAAACTCAAAACTTTTAAAATATTATTCAAAGCCCTTCATGTCAAGGCCCGACTTTACAACTTTATAGGCCTTTCATTCACCAGTTCTTCCAAGGTTCTTGTCTCCTGTATAAGGCCAACCCCTTGTCTTGGGTACTGGATCTCATCTTCACTTCCAGTTCAAGAACCTGACTCCTAAGGTTGGCCCCTTTCTGTCTGCCTCATTTCTTTTTCACTCCAAACTCTGTAATTCCTCCAGCTACTGCTCCAGTTCTTAGATATTCTTTATACCAGAAGTTTTCAAAAGAGTTGGTAATAGTCTTCCCTTTCAGTCTCCCTTGAACCTACACAAATTATGCTTTTTCTCTCCTATCCACTTCTGAAACTGCTTGTTTAGGTCACTAATTACTTTCCAGTTGCTCAATTTAATGGTACTTTCATTGACTTCTTCCTACTTGAACTAACAATAGCATTTGTCACATCTGATCACTGGCTCCTCCTTAAAACATATTCTCTTGTCCTCTGGGATGTCATACTCTCTTAGTTCCCATTGTCCTCAATAGCTGTCCCTTCTCTGTCTTCTTTACTGGATTCTCCTTAGCTTCTTGACCTCTAATGATTGTAATCCTTGAGAGTCATTCCTAAGAATTGTCCTCTTTCTACATTTCCATCCCAGAGGATCTCATTTTAATACTGAAGCTTAAAATATCATGAACATAATTAAGTCATGCATTTATGTCTCTAGCCCTGATTTCTTCCCTAAACTCCAGTCTGTTATAATCAACTCAATATCTCCCACTTACCATCTCCAACTTGGATGACAAATGGATGTCTCAAACTTTACATATCATAAAGTGAATTCTTGATTCCAACCATATCTCCACCTTGCTGCCAAACTTGCTCCTCCTGTGATCTTCCCCATCTCCATCAGCAACAACTCTGTTTCTCCTGATACTCAGGTTCAACATCTTGGCATCATTTTAAAATTCACTCTTTGTCTCACACTTCAATATCCAATTAATCACCAAAAACCTGTTAGCTCTACCTGCAAAATATATCAAAAATCTGACCACTTCTTGCCACCACCCTAGTCTGAACTTCATTATCCGCAAACACTGGGTCAAAATAAGCAAGAGTTTCAATAAATACCATCCATCATCACCAAAA
Source organism: Homo sapiens (assembly GCF_000001405.40). Taxonomy (NCBI): domain Eukaryota; kingdom Metazoa; phylum Chordata; class Mammalia; order Primates; family Hominidae; genus Homo; species Homo sapiens. The sequence continues at coordinate 113,973,655 of NC_000005.10, read as the reverse complement.
CATAGGGGCAATGTCTTCTACAGAGTAGCTGGCATGCAAGAAATGTTGATAAGAAAGCCACAATGGAGGAAGCACCATACTACAAATCCAGAGAACCTAGGTCTCCATTCTGACAGATACACGTGACTCAGCCAACCAACTTCATTTCACTTTGGTCATATCTGTAGCATTGTATTTATTCACTTATTGGATTGCATTCGATCCATTTATACCTGTGTCTCTTCCTAACACATATCCTCTAAGGGGAGGGATCACTATTTCTTTCTGATAGGACTACAGTTGGTGCTTCATAAGCATTTGCTGGAATAAAGTTGTTTTGAAGGGTTTTAGTTGGATTGGGTAAGGAGTATATTTAACTGGGTATTGATAATAAGAAACTAAACTAAGATCAGTTACAGGAATATTGCAATAATCCAGATGAGGGATGATAGGAAACCAAGCTATAGGGAGATTGAAGTGGAGATAAAGGAACTAATTGTGTAGATAAATTTATGTTACAAGTGACAAGAATTGGTAAGTAATTTAGTTGCAAGGAAAGAGTCACTAAGGATGCCGATGCTTCTGGCTTAGAAAAGCATGTAGATGGAATTGTCATTAGCTGTGGTGGTAGAAGTGGAAGGATGAGGTTTGGGGTGTAGAGGGATTTAAACAATTAATGATATCCATTTTAGGTATGTTTTATTGAAGTACTTTTAAGCACTAAGTTGAAAATAATAGTAAATTGGCAAAACAGGTGTGATGTGGGGCAGGAGGGGGAATGCGGTGATTGATGAAATCAATGGTAACTAATATTGGGGGTGGATGAAACTGGCTAGGGAGTGTATAAAGTGAGAAGGTAGGGAAGTCCAGGCCTAAGTTCTGGAGAACACAGCAAGTTAGGGGGAAGGTAAAGGAAGTTGCGACAGCAGAGATAGAACGAGTGTACTCAGTGAGTCAGGAAGGAAACCAAAAAAAATCAGGAACCAATGGGAATAAACTTTCAAGATGTAAGGTTAGCTGTGACCCCAAAAGGCACAAAGACATAAAATAGGATGAGGACAAAAAGGAGACCATTGATAGTTTGTATTAGCCATTTCAATTCTGTGGTCAAGAGAAAAACCAGATGGCAAATCACTGAAATGGGGAGAGAGTTTAAAACAGATGCATTCTTTCCAGAAGACTATGGGGTCAGGAAGGTGAGAGAGAGCATTAAAAATGGAGGCAGGCTCCATATACACATTTTTGTAATGAGACAGACTCAAGTTTGTTTTTGAGGTCCAAAGAAGAGAAAAACACAATGGTTAAAATTATAGAGGTTGGGGGATGGAAACGACTGATAAAATTCCAGAGGAGGCAAAGCTCTCTAAAGCATAGGCTGAGAAAAGAGCTCAAAAAGGAAAAAGGACAAATCCATCCTTCCTTCCTTCCTTCTTTCCTTCTTTCCTTCCTTCCTTCCTTCCGTCTGTCCATCCATCAACAAACATTCACTTAGCATCTATTGTATGCCAGGCACTATTCTAGGTGCTTAGGATAAATCGATGAAGAAGACAGAAAAGGAAACCCACCTTTATGATATTTATATTTTAGCAAGATTGGGTAGTGGGGTAGAACATGCAATAAAAAGGAATATAATAAATATATAAATCACATTTTATTAGAAGGTGACAATTTCCATAAAACAAGGATAGAGCATTGTAAGGGGGATTGAGAGGGTCAAGATGAGGGTTGGGTTGCAATTTTTAATAACTTTGTTAAACCTTATTGAGAAGGTAAGACTTGAAGGATTGAAGGGAGTAGCTGTGTTTATATGTTGGGCAAGAGGAAAGAATGGGCATACACATGGAAATATGTGGAAAAAGAGAGTAAAAATTTGCATTTTTAGTATCAGAAAAATAAAATGATAAATTAGCTACTGAAGGAAAAGATATTGGTGACATTTAGCTATGTTTACTGTAGAAAAATCCAATAAAAAGAATTAATTTGTTTACCTGTGTTGTCAAACGGGTCATGCTGGTATTTCTAGTCTCAATATATTTTAAGTATGTTAGCAGTAGGTTGCTGAAAGGTCACAGAAGTCCCACAGTTAATTAATAGAATCTTCCACCAGTCACACAAAAGAGAGGCTAGACCTGGAGTTCAGTCTCATTATGACAAATAACCAAGCAAGAAATTTCACAGCTAGTACACAAACCTCTTTACTGATTTATTCAGCCACTCAGCAGTAATTTATTATTAAACTTAATCTACTCAAAATGTTCATGCACATAGTAAATAAGGCCTCTATACTCACATATGAAGCAAACTTAAATCAAATTACATACCACCTGTGGAATTTCCATTTCAGATAAAGATAGCAAACTCATCAAAGAAAAGTGTGTGTTGATGGGTAGGAAGTTTCTTAGATTTCATCAGATGAAGAAAGGATGATTGAATACTTATGTCCACATTCTTTCATGATAATTATTTTCAAGGGCCAGTAGAGCGTGGCTCCCAGTTGAACATAGCATTGTTGTGGCCACACTAATATAGACTTACAATGTCTCACAATGAAGAGCCCAAAAGGTAAAAATTCTGTCACTAAAAACAACTGCAGAAGCCAGGAGGAATTTCCATTAACTATAAAACGTGGTAGACACAAAGTAGCAGAAATGTAAGATGAACAAGACTAGACATTTAATGTACAATATGAGAACCATAATTAATAAAATTGTACTGTATTTGGGAATTTTCTTGAATACATTTTAACTGCTCTTGTCACAAAAAAGTAACTTTGTGAGATGATAGATATGTCAATTTGCTTCACTATAGTAACCATTTTACTATCTATATATATCCCAACACATCATGTTTTAAACCTCTAATAGACACAATAACATTTATTTTTACAAAAAGAAAAGAAAGGCCAGATGCAGTGTCTCACGCCTGTAATCCCAGCACTTTGGGAGGCTGAGGTGGGTGGGTGATGAGATCATGAGTTCGAGACCAGCCTGACCAACATGGTGAAACCCCATCTCTACTAAAAATGCAAAAATTAGCTGGGCGTGGTGGTGCATGCCTGTAATCCCAGCCACTCAGGAAGCTGAGGGAAGAGAATCGCTTGAACCCGGGACACAGAGGTTGTAGTGAGCCGAGATTGTGCCACTGCACTCCAGCCTGGGCGACCGAGTAAGACTCTGACAAAAAAAAAAAAACCTGTCAGAACCAGACTCACAAAGCCATTTTGAGTTGCCAACTGTCTTAGAGAAGATAAAAAGATGTGCTTCTACTCTGCCAACAGACTCCTAGCACAGAGACTCGAGCACAGAAAACAATTTCTAAAAACGGTCTGTCAGTCCTCAGTTGTGTTACTCAAGTGGGCAGATCATTGTCTGTCCCTCTTTGCTATCTTTCTATATCTATTGAGAGGCAAAAAATAATCAGAGGAAGAATGAAGAGAGGAGGGGGATAGTTGTCATGCACTGACAATGGCAGTATAAGCTGAGATGAGTAGACCCTACAGTGAGGGACTCTACTTGGGCATGGAAATTCCCTGGCAGAACAGGCCCTGGCAGTGGTTTGTCCCTATAATTATAGCATCTCATGTATTGCATCTGTTCTGAGTGTCAGACAGCCAAGAATTGGGAGCAAGGGAAACTCCCACCTCAATATAGCCAAGATGCATTAAACAAATGCCTGCTCAACATTAGGAATTTGGCTGGATGCTGTCCACATCAATATCTCCTCTAAACCATACATTTGACAAGGAGATTTGATGAGTACTCAAGCTGACAATGAGTAAAGCCAGGGAAATCCCACATACCTTGTCTTTTGACAAAGATGTAGTCTAGATGTTTCCTGCCTTGCTTGAATAAAAGACAAAAAGCTTTGAATATATGAAAATACGTGCAGATATAAGGGTAAAGGAGTATTTTCCTAAAGATTCAGGGTAATAGTGGATAAGTGAATTTACTTATTACAAGAAATAGACAGCTATTTTAGAAAACGTGTTCTCAAAGGACCCAAGAAGCTATTGCTCGTATAAAGAAAAATCATAAGAAGCAAAGAGGCAAGGAGAAAATACAATAGGATGAGTTGCAAAGATGCTAAATTGAGGTAAAGAAGGAGCTCAGTGCTTTAAGAAAATACAAACAAATGAAATTTCATTAGATCATATCCTCACTGAAGGAAAGGAAAGGAAAAATTTTGTCATAGATGCGGAAAAAACTCTTGGGGAAATACGTCAAAGGCTAGGAATAGATATACTCCTTTGTTTGGTAGACAGGGCATTGAAATAGAAAACTTAACGGAAATCAGAGAAGAGAGAGAAAAATCCAGATCACATATCTAATCTGGACTCATCCCATATTTCCATAACCTCAGGCATCAGAAAAATAAAATAGAAGCAACACTCTACTTTCAAACTATAATGTGGAGGGAAAGAGAAAACAGACTCAGAGTAGGTGTCATGGATGCTAGGAAGAATTAATCCACATCATGTTAGCATATAAAGGAGATCTGGCCAGAATCACTCAAACATAAACAGGCAAAGCCATGGCATGGCATCTCTGCGAGTACCTTGTACAGGGTATCTCCCAATTGCCCTTCTCTCCACCCTCTCCCATCCTTCTCCTTCATTCCCCATGCCCTAGAAGGTGGTCCTTTATGCACATTTGTCTTTTGGTCTCCTATTGAAAGACACCTGCAAAAGATGAGAGGAAAGGAGTTGAGTTGGTTATTTGTTCCCCAGCTCTCTCCCTTCCATATCACAATGGATAAGCTTGTCTCTCTATAGAAGGCCACGGCTTCTCTCTGGCAGCCTTCTCTGTAGTTGCCTTCTATGGGTTCCAGCAACCATGGCCTCTGGGTGGTAATGGCCCCCTGCTGTCGCTGGCTCAGAAGTACCACACTAGTTTTTGTTGGTTTAGAAATCCCCAAATCCTGCTTATGCCTTTCTGAACAGGTCCTGTATTAAATTATCCTCAGATATCCCAGTTTGAATATATCATCTGTTTCCTGCCAGGACCTTGACTGAAACATATACTGTAACAGATAATAATGTAAAAGAAACGGCATGTAAAAGAGAGATAAATAGCCCAGCAACTACAAAAATATAACCCAAGCAACTGAAACAGATTTCTTGCATATTTTTGCAATGTGTTGTGGAAGACTTTAATTTAATAAACAAGAGCTCAAAGACAAGCCTATCTAGTAGTAGAATGAAACTTAAAAGAGCATTGTAGAAATAAGGCAATAAATTGAGAACTGTGATAAAGAACGATTGCCATTTATTACATGTGTAATTATTCATTTTAAATAGGGGAAAGTATAATAGAGATGAAAAGCAAATTAATGTCATTGAGATAGTCACAATGCACGTAGAAGAAAAAAACAGACAAATGAAGTTAGAGAAGAAATGAGGCATAGGGAAGACAAGTACCATACAACATAAAAATAATCAAGGTCTTTTAAATTAAGGACCTCAAAAGCGATGCCAAGAATATTCCGAAATATTCAGGAAAATTTCGCAGAAATGGCAGAAGAACTGGACCTGCAGATAAAAATGGTATATCTTTTTAATTAAAGTAGATCAATAACAAGATTTCTTAATGATAAAAAAGTTATCCAGTTATCCAGAAAGCAAATTATCCACAAGGATAAGAAATCACGGCAGCCTTAGTTTCTCCACAGTGCCCAGAAATAATTAATGTCAGAATATTAGAAGCAGGTTTACATCACTAAGGGGGAACAAGTGAAAGCCAATGATATAACACTCAGACAAGTTGTAGCTCAAATAAAAAGGCAGCAGGAAGGCACACTCAGATTTGAAAACATCTGAGGACTCTAACACCCACCAGAACTTTTTTTGAGAAAATACCCCATAATGAAATCCAACCAAATAGGAAAAGAATAGAAATAAAGTATAGAGCAAGAAAGAAGTAGTGGCAAATGGCCTGGTGGAAAGCGTTGAATCCATTTAAACAGATAACCAAGACCGAGAGAGTTATGGTGGGAGAAAAAAACTAAAAATAGGCCAGGCAGGGTGGCTCACACCTGTAATCCCAGCACTTTAGGAGGGTGAGGTGGGCAGATCACTTGAAGCCAGGAGTTTGAGACCAGTCTGGCCAACATAGTGAGACCCTGTCTCTACAAAAAATAAAAGAAATTAATCAGGTGTGGTGGTGCATGCCTGTAGTCCCAGCTCCTTGGGAAGCTGAGCTGGGAGGATGGCTTGAGCACAGGAGGTGGAGGCTGTAGTGAGCTATAATCGCACCACTGTACTCTAGGTGGGCAGCAGAATGAGACCTTGTCTCAATAAATAAATACAATTTTTAAGCCCTGTAAATGTTACAAATGCTAAATAAATAAAATTATATAATGGCAAATGCCGAAGTAGGAGGAAAACAAGTGTAAGAAAGTGCAGAAAAAGAAAGTGTAAGTGTGCTCATCAATTCATTGCTCATAGCTGGGAGTCAATAAATAGTTTCCAAAATAGAAACGTGTTTATTATGTTCTTTTCTTAACATTAGAGCAATGTGTTAAAACTAAATATCTCTTATAGTGAATAAGTGAACTTCTCTGTGAAGTTCAATAATTTATTTGATTTTGCTTTAGTTTTCTTCTGTTCAAGTAAAATAAAATTGAAAATTTTTTATTAAAACATTTTAATTAGGCCAGTCGAGGTGGCTCACACCTGTAATCCTAGCAATTTGGGAGACCAAGGCAGGTGGATCATATGAGGTCAGGAGTTCGAGACCAGCCTGGCCAACATGGTAAAACTCTGACTCTACTTAAAATACAAAAATTAGCTGGCGTGGTGGTGGGCACCTGTAATCCCAGCTACTTGGGAGGCTGAGGCAGGAGAATTGCTTAAACCCAGGAGGTGGAGATTGCAGTGAGCTGAGATAACACCATTGCACTCCAGCCTAGGCTACAAGAATGAAACTCCATCTCAAAAAAACAAAAATTGGCCAGGCGCAGTGGCTCACGCCTGTAATCCCAGAATTTTGGGAGGCTGAGGCGGGCGGATCACGAGGTCAGGAGATTGGAGACCATCCTGGCCAACATGGTGAAACCCCGTCTCTACTAAAATACAAAAAATTAGCCGTGCATGATGATGTATGCCTGTAGTCCCAGCTACTCTGGAGGCTGAAGCAGGGGAATTGCTTGAACCTGGGAGGCAGAGGTTGCAAACCAAGATCATGCCACTGCACTCCAGCCTGGCGACAGAGCAAGACTCCGTCACAAAAATAATAAAAATAATAATAATAATGATTAAAACATTTATTATGATGTTATTCTTATGAAATTTTTACATATATTTATTTGTTAATCTACATATTTGTATATATTTTTAAGTCTGTCTGAAATGGTGATCAGCAGATATTAACACCTGTTACTTCAGGGTGGTGGAATTTGGGGTCACTTTTATAATTTTTTATATTAATTTATGCTAAAAAAATTTTGTGGTAAACATGTATTTTTTTAAGAGAGAGAGAGGGTCTTGCTCTATCACCCAGTCTGAAGCGCAATAGCGTGATCATGGCTCACTACAAGTGGCATGCACCAACATACCCAGCTATTTAAAAACTTTTTTTTTTTTTTTGTAGAGACAAGGTCTCACTTTGTTGCCGAGGTTGGTCTTGAACTCCTGGCCTTAAACAGTCCTCCTCTTCAGCCACCCAAAGCTCTAGGATTGTAGGCAGTGAGCCACCGCATCCAGCCAAACTCGACATTTTTAATTTAAAAAGTAAGATATTACTCCAAACCCAAAAAACCAAAATTGAAAAAAAAATTCTGAACCCAAAAGATATAAACAGTTAGAACATTTGGAAAATGTCTAGGAAGAAAAGAACAGACTACCCACCTGGGAAGAAACAACTAAAGTGTGATGTCTGAAATATTAAACACCTGAAAAGTTTGAAACATTATCTCCAGAGTCCTTCAGTGGAGAAAAAGAGCTTGTTATTCAGGAGTTTGATACCAAACAATGTGATCATTCATATATAAAGGCAACAGAAAGAAAATTCAAGTGCACAAGGGCTCAGAAAATATACCACCCAACCACACTTAAAACATGAATACCTACATTTGGCGATCACTAAATGAATTAGTTCTGAAAGCTCACGAATTAAAATGTGACTATATAAAAAGACCAGTAGTTTATCTACTGCCAAAAGGGAATTCTAACGGGCCAAGCCCCAACCATAGAAATACACTTAGGGACATTGACCAGCTTCCCAGCCCAAGTTTACTCCTACAGGTCTGGTTTCCCTATAAAACCTGAGATTGCAGCAATCCTGGGAAACCTTGGCAATGTGAGAATATAATGGCACAGTAATAAAACCACTGTGCTATAATCATGGTTAACTTATAAAAATAAATGGCCTGACATTTCTACTTCTGGGTAAGATACAATAAGTAGTTAGAATATCCAAACCTTTGAAAGCAATTGGAACTATGGAAACTAAAATTCTAGTGGGAAGAGAACCTCTCAGAGATGAACTGAAGATCAAATGGGAGTAGCGACCTATCCTGAATGTGACTAGAGGTGAGAATCTGGGCTTGTCCCAAGCATAGGGCCACTGATGTGGGACAGAGAAACCAGCAGAGCTTTTGGTCCTCATGCAGGGAAGTAGAGATGAAATTGTAAACTTAAGAAGCTTTAAACACATAGATGATTTTCCTCTCAATGTTTGAATTCCAAAGTTGTGCTGATCAGGAGGACTTTAAAAAAAAGGAAATTTCTGAAAGGCAAAATGAAATTTTATGCGTTCTCTTGGTGCTTTAAAAAAATACCTGACAAGTACAAGACTCCTAGAGAGTTAAAAATCCCTGCAGGGAGTAATTGGCATTAATGAGCGGAAACTGTTTTTTGGTAGGGAGAATATGCTAATCTGGGTTAACATAAAGGGTGAGAATCCAAGTTCAGCCCGTAGCAGAGTTATATGGGGCCCGAGTGACAAAACTGGAGACTTTAGAGGCCTCAAATACAGTGTTAGTCTTACAGTCTTAGAATATTTGTCAAATTTTGCAGTTTCATGGAGGAAGGGAAAAAAGAGATAGACCTAAAACCTTTAAAAAGTAGAATACAGATCCCATCAGTCTCTCATTCCTGAGACAAATAACTGCCACATTCTCAAATGAAAGCCAAGAAGAGCCACAGCCTTGGAAAGGGGAAAGACAGGTAGACCAGGTCTTCCCTAAACTGCAGCTCAGGCTTGACCCAGATTTAGTCCCTAGTTGATTCAAGGGAGTCATCTCCATAGCCTCTTTTCCAGGCAGAGGAAAAGGTGAACATTGATGGAAAATGGTGTCATCTGATGTCTCTACCATTTTTTCTTCAATAAACAAAGTCCTGCATTCAATAACAAATTACTAAGCATGCCAAGACACAGAATCCATAGGACAAATACGAAGAGAAAAAATAGCCAATAAAAGCAAATTCATAGATAATCCAGATACTGGAGTTAGCTGAATAAGATGGACATTCTAGAACTAAAAAATATAATACTGAAATTAAGGATTCAAAATAGGTTTAACAATAGATTGTATCTAACATAAGAAGAATCAGCAAATTTGAAAATAGTTTAACAGAATGATCGAAAATGAACCACAGAAAGAAAAGAGAATGGGAAAAAAATAATGGCCTTTCTACATAATAGCAATAATCAATTAGAAAATGTTGTCTTTCTTAAAAAATTCATTCACATTGAAACATGAATAATAAAGTACCTAGGATTAAGCCAGGAAAGAAATGTATGAGAAATTTATGAAGACAGATGTAAAAATTTACTAAAGAAAATAAAAGAATACATGAATAAATGGTGAGCTATATCATGTCCATAGTTAGGAATACAATAATAAAATATGTAAGTTCGATCTAAATTAATCTACATATATAAAAATTTCAGTCATAATGCCAGTAAGACTTGAAAATATACTTTATGAAAAGAAAATATACTTTATGAAAAGATGGAGGATTTAATAAATGGCAAGGAACTTCACTTGGGAAAAATGGTCTTCTATTTCAACATTTGCTACAGTCTCACTCCTCTATATTTATATTTCTATATTTATATTTCTATATATAAATTTCCTCACCCTATAAATGTTCTAGATTATACATTGTACCATGTACCATAGATTATACCACGTACATTATTCTGTATACAAATAAGTAGAACTCTTGATGGACAAGAAATGTTGGAGAAAAAAATAAAAGACAATTGATCAAGGGCAACTGACAATGCCTAGTTGGCGCGCTGCAGCAGGATTATCCTGGTGAGAAGCCACCCCACATTTCTCCCTCATTACCAGTTGGACTAGGTGAATAGTGTTTGCCATCAGGTGGGACGAGTGACTATGAGAGATTATTTTGGAGAAGGTCTGTGTCTCGACAGGGTTAGAAACATCCAGGAAGACTGGAGAATACCAGCTCTTAAAGAAGAGGCAATGAGGAACCACATGATAGGTTATATCAGAAAAGAGTTTAGCAGAGTAGGTGGTTACAAGGTCACTTATTAAAATCAATGTCCATTACATTAGCAAAATCAATTAAAAATGTATAAGAAGAAAACTATCCTGTTTAAAATAAAAACAACCATAATGTAATTAGAATTAAGCATCATAAACAACATGCAAGGTCTTTATAGAGAAAAGAATAAGGTTTTTTTGAGGTACATAAAAGACTTGAATAAATGATAATTTTCTCCAAATTAGTCTTAAAATCAATGCCATCTCAGAAGGATTTTACATGAAGTTTGACAAGCTGATTCTAACATTTGTAAGGAATGCTAACTGAGCTAGAGTTGTGAAGCTATTCTGAAAACATAATAACAGATTGCATGTTTTATACTCAAATATATCTGTGCTTTATACCAGATATAAACTATATTAAAAGGTAGACAGAGTAAAGTATTGTAATACTAATCCTAGGTTAAACAAATAGATTAATGATCTTGACTATCTAGAAACAGCCACAATTTTATATGAAAAAATAACTTATGGAAAAGTTACCATTTCAAACTATTAGGAAAAGCATATACTGTAACAATCAATATTGATGCATTTAATAATCTATTTGAGAAAAAAAGTAGAATTAAGATTCTTTTTTGAACCAAATCCATTTATTTAAAAAATTCTTAATTTCTAGATTTGTCTTTGCTTGATATTATTCTCCTGTGTGTAGAAAAACACATACAATGATGTTCATTGAATCATGATTTATAGTAATAAAAAACTGAAAACAAACTAAATATCTATCAAATGAGTTTTCTTAAATATTCTGAAAACATCAACCATACCATGGAACACCATGCAGTAGCTTTAAAAAAAAAACTCATGTAGGTACTAATATTGACCGATATTCAAGAATATTGCTAAGTGAAAAATACAAGTTTTGGTCACTAAAAAGTAAAAGTAAGTATACAATAAGTGTAATTTTAAAGCAAGTTGAAGAAAAATGTGATACATGTATTATACCACCTTTTTTTGAAAACACATAAATAACAAATATATGCACGATGTATATTTTTTTAAAAAAGCAAATTATAAATAAATTTAAAAACAGGGTACCTCCGAGGAGTAAAATATTTTCTCCTGGAGAACAGGAGAAGTAGGAGTGAGTGGAATGGGTATTTTATATTCCCTCCTACTTGCTTTTAATAGTATTCTTATATTACTTAAATGTTTTTAAAAATAAAGGTGTTATATGGTATTATTAAATAAATGATTGCAACACTTTAATTACACATGTATTTGTATGGACATGGATTGAACAGAAACAGAGAAATGTATGTTCATGTGCAGTAAGCTCCCTAGAAAGAACTCCATCTTTTTTTTTTTTTTTTTGGTAGAAGTACCCCAGTTGTATAGAATGACCTCTCTCACAGGTAGGGAAGTATGCATTGTTAGCATAAGCCAATCATCACATCCCATTCACCTGGTCACAGGGATAGACTCATGGTTGAATTTATATTCCAATCAGATAATTTTGCTGAGGTTTTGGAGAAAGAAATGCAATTTCTTTTCCTCTGGACTTGGTTGATTGAGAATGAGAGACTCAGGAATGCTGTCCATATCTTTTTTAATGAAGAAAGCCAGTAGAAGAATGAATACCTTTATGATGGAGAGAAACTGATCACTAAAGGTATTGCTTAAGCCACTGGATCAAACTGAGCCTGAATTCTGTGTAGGTCAGTACATTACCTGTAGTTATTGGCCAAGCCCGTTGTAACTAGTTTTCCTGTCTCTTGCAAACAAGAGTCCTATTTGTAAGATTTCAAGTAAAAAACTTTTTGGCAATTAAAACAAATTTAATGTTATAATAGTATAGCTATTATAGGAAAATGAAAAGAGGAAAACTTCCAATGGTTTCCTGTTTCCTGCAGAATAAATGTTATAACCTTCAGGTGTTGTTCTGCCAAGCCATATTGGAGCCTGAGGCAAAGGAAAAATTAGTACTACTGATCTAGTCTTTATTTAAGATCTTGTTCATCGTTGAGTGTTTTTGCATTGACTTTGGTTTTTTAAAATATTGCATTAAAATGTTAGTTATCTTTATGACTGAATTTTTTTGGAGTTCCCCTTAAATTTTGTGCCTGAGGAAAATACCTCACTTCCCTCACCTTAATCATACATAACCCTGCCCCCAGACTCCTTAACATCTGAAGTTATCCTAATTATCCAATGGAGTGAGCACTGTAGTACACCACCTGACTACCACCAACCCTTTAAGGGGTTTATTCTCATACTGTTGAGACTATTGAAGGCTGACACCTGGCATCTGAGTACGCACTCCAGGCACTTGCCTTTACCTGAAGAGAGACACCTTGTTAATAGCCATGGCAAGCCACACAATGAAAAACTGATGTGCAGCAATTCTGCAGGGCCATCCTAAATTCAGAGCTTCCTGAGGTGATTGGTTGCAGCTACGCTACAGCCCAGCTTCTCTCTCTGTCCAGTCCTCCTGCCTTCACTTCCCTACAGATGTTGATTCCAAGAGCACTCACCTGTAAATGTCTTGCATGCATATCTCTGTCTCAGGGTCTACTTTCCAGGAAAGCAAACAGCAACACCAATCCAATCTCCCATCACCCTCAACAAACATCCTGAACTTCTGCCAAGGCCATTCCCCTTGTCTTCACACTATGCTCACTCAGGAATCTAGTTTTAGTGCATCGTCCCCCTTCCCTCTAAATCCCTCATCTCTCTCCTTGACCTTTTCAATTCCCACCATCTTCAAGACATACCGCAAGGCCCACCTCCTCTACAAATGCCTTGCCTAAAACCTGTATTCCTACCTGATTCATATTATACTCAAATATGTATTCAAAGAATCAATGAGCTTTCCTCTTCTCTACCAGCATTTCCCTAAATGTTTTTTTCTGAATCTCTTGGTCATAGTTATAGGAAGATCTTTAACATCAGAATATACCACTGCTGCTCCCAGAGTCAACGGCCCTTTCTTTTTAAGTCCTGGTTGCTCCTACTCCTTTGTGTTTGCTGACCCGGCTATGCCCACCCATTCACAGAATGAACTGAGTTCCCTGTGCAGCCTGTTTCCATCTCTTTGGCAGGTTGGAAATGCATTTCTTACTTAACCTGCATGTGAAGGACTTTCTGAAGCATCACTTTCCAGCTTTTGATGGCTTGATAAGGATTTCCTGTCACTTAAATGTATTTTTGGTCTAATAGCATAATACTTTAAAAAATAGTATATGTAAAATTGTATGATGATTTTACGAAGAGTACAGGAGGCTGCAATTAAAGAGACAAGGAATTTTTTTAAAAATCCTGAAAATCCAATGTACATTTATAATACAAATTGGACTACTACTGGCCCTAAGATCTCATGTAATGCATTGAATCCAAATTCAATTTAGCATGTCTCACAATTTCCCTGTAAAGGGTCAAAACCAATGACTGATAAACTCCCTGAACAAGTAAAATCTATTTCCTATAAGAAGAGATTTTTTTCTTATGATTGTACCAATAACATTTTCTATGGCATTGGCATTGACAGTCTACAGGATATTTTCACAGATATTATTAATTTTTATTCCATTTAATTTTCAAAATGGCCCTGTGAATTAGGTTAACCTGCATTTTAAATATAAGGGGAAACTGATGCTCTGGGAGGGATTATATGTCTGATATCACACAACTAATAAGAGACCAAGTGGAGTCTTCAATCCTGCTCTTCCGGCTCTAATGTTTTTTCCACTATTTGCCCTGCCTTCAACTGGATACAACTGCTGGGGCTTTATCACCAAGTTGTTTGCTTGCAAAATGGGGCTGTTGTCTTGGGTAGTGGTTCCCAAGAGAAAACTCAGGGACTCATCCTGATCAAAGGGAGCGACTAAGAGGCTGGTGGTTCTCTCAGAAGTCAGAATAGTGTGCTTTTTCTTTTCTCCATGTGGGACAAAGATACTAGCAACTGGGTAGGAAATTTATCTCTAAAAGGCGGAGACAAGCAAGAGTTTTCTCAACGGTTTAGTATTATAAATAGTTCAGCCTCAGAATAGGGAAGAGATCACTCCTCTAGAGTATATGGTCCTCAATTATAAGATATTTCCATGAGGAAAAACTAGATTCTACTTTTAACATGAATTGTTGAAGCTTAGAGGCAATTAGCCCAAACACCACTCATTTCCCGAGAGTTCTGAGGAATAGGAATAGAACACCACCCTCCAAATATAGCTATAATTATTTCATTCAGCTTCTTCACCCCTAGGATTCTACCAGGCTCTCTAGAGTACAAATACAAGAGAAAAAAAAAGATGGCACTAATGTACCATAGCAGATGTTTTGGTGCCAAGGCTTTCCATATTAGCCAACAGAATTTTACAGCAAGCATCTCTGACTCTCTGCCTAAGGGCTTTCTCTGGCAGAGGCAGTTTGCCTCAGAGTACAGAAGGGGCAGATCAAAAAATGTAGTGAGGAGAGGAGGGGATTGTACCTCATCCAATCATGGATTGGGTTGGTAGATAAATGCTCCCACTTTCTTTGTCTTTACGAAGAACAATTTGAGGTGTGTTCTACCCTAGCTCTCACAGATCCTTAGATCATATAAGCATTAAGGTTAGAGAGTTGCAGCTCCAGGCTAACATGAATGGCAGACATTTTCTAAGGCCCATTGTAAGGAAGCAAAACCTTAATGGATATCACCAAACAAGAGCTCATAGGCAAAGAAGGTTAGAAACAGACATAAAGATACTGTGGAAGGAAGTCTAGCCTAGGAAACCACATGAGAACAGCAGGGATGTGCAGAAAAAAATAGCAGCTCCTGGAAGAAGAATCAGAAAGGCGGAGACTCAGGCCAGAAGATTTCAGCCCTGGGAACTGTATTCTGAATCTGAATTCTATATTCTCTTTTGTTGGTCTGTTTCTTCTTTACCAACAATAATATTTTATTGCTATGGCTTTGTAGCAAGAATATCTAGTTTCTCCTTATAGTTTTTCTTCTTTCTAATCATTAACTTGGTAATTTGCATATAAATTTTAGAATAAGTTTATCAGACTTCTCAATAGCTCCACTTGGACTTTTAGTGGATTGTTTTGAATTTATAGAGTCATTGGGTAAAAATTGACATTTATATTAATTTGTCTTATCAGAATACCTCTTCATCCTTTAGTTTCTTTATTAGAGTTTTTAAATTTCTACATAGAGATGTTGCTTTTTTAAAAGTTAATTCCAATATGCTTATAGTTTTCATGCCATTATAAATAGAATAACATACAATATATTTTCTAGATGGTTATTTTGGGGATAAATTTTTAAACATTGCCTATAGGAGGATCTTATATTCAGCAACTCTGCCAAACTCTCTACTTAATTCATGTTGATTTTTTTAGTTGTTCTCAGTATACAATAATATCATTTGCAAATAACAGTTTTTTCCTTCAAATTTCCTTCAAATCCTTTCATATTTTACTTATGAATATGCATACAAATATCATAAATAAAATATTAACCACCTAAATGGAATTTTACTTTTAATTAAAATAGTGATATATTCTGATCAAGTTGGGTTTATTCAAAGAGTGCAAACAGAGTTGAACTCAGGAAAAGTTTTATGTGTACTTCACCACTTTGGTAGATAAGAGGAGAAAATCCTATAACTACTTTATTGATTTAGAATATGTATTAGATAAAATGTGTTCGATCCTTAACAAAGATGAAAAGTTTCAAAGATCCAGAATAGCCAAAGCCATCCTGAGACAAAAGAACAAAACCAGAGGCATCACTCCACCTCACTTCAAATTACACTACAAAGCTATAGTAACCAAAGCAGCATAGTACTAGCATAAAAACAGACATATAAAAAAATCAAGCAGAATAGAGAACCCAGAAAATAAATCCGTGCATTTATAGTGAACCTATTTTTGACAAAATACCAAGAACATACAATGGGGAAAGGACAGTCTTCAAAAAATGATGCTGGGAAAACTGGATGTCCATTTGTACAAGAACAAAACTACATCCCTATTTCTCACCATATACATATGTGTGATATGTATCTCACCATATACATACATAAAATCAAAATGGATTGAAGACTTAAAACTAGGATCTGAAACTACTAAAAGAAAACTTTGGGGAAACACTTCAAGACATTGGTCTAAGCAAAGATTTTTTGAGAAAAACCTCAAAAACACAGGCAAGCAAAGCAAAAATGAATAAGTGGGATCACATCAAGCTAAAAAATTCTGTATAGCAAAGGAAACAATTGACAAAGTAAAGAAACAACTGACAGAATGGGAGAAAATATTTGCAAACCACTCATCTGACAAAAGATTAATAATTAGAATACAGAAGGAGCCCAAACAACTCAGTAGGAAGAAAACAACACAAATTTAAAATGGGAAAAAGACTTGAATAGACATTTCACAAAAGAAGATATACAAAATGGCCCAGTATGCAAAAATGTTCAACATCACTAATTGTCAGAGAAATGCAAGTCAAAACTATAATAAGATATCATCTCACCCCAATTAAAATGGCTTTTATCCAAAGGACAAGCAATAATAAATGTTAGTGAAGATGTGGAGAAAGGGGAACCCTCATACACAGTTGGTGGGAATATAAATTAGCACAGCCGCTATGGAGATTCCTCAAAAAACTAAAAATAGAACTACCATATGATCCACAATACCACTTCTGGGTATATATCCAAAAGAAAGGAAAATTATATACTGAAGCAGTATCTGCACCCCCGTGTCTATGGCAGCACTACTCACAATAGCCAAGATATGGAATCAACCTAACTGTCCATCCATGGATGAATGAAAAAGAAAATGTGGTACATATACACAATGGAATACTATTCAGCCATAAAAAATACTGAAACCTTGTCATTTGCAACAACTTAGAAAGAACTTGAGGACATTATATTAGGTGAAATAACCTAGGCCCAAAGGCAAATATCTCATGTTCTCACTCTTATGTGAGAGCTTTAAAAATTGAACTCATGGAGATACAGAGCAGAATGATGGTTATCAGAGGTGAAAGGGTAGTCAGGGGATAAAGAAGGGATAGTTAGTGGGTATAAAAATACAATTAGTTAGAATGAGTTAGTACTAGGAGTTGATAGCATAATAGGGTGACTATAGTTACCAACAATTTATTGTATATTTTAAAAGAAGTAAAATAGTGGAATTGAAATACTCCTAACACAAAGAAATAATAAAAGCTTGGGTTGATAGATACCCCAATTACCCTGATTTGATCATTATACACAGTATGCTTGTATCAAAACGTCACATGTACCCCATAGATATGTACAACTATTATGTACTCATAATAATTTAAAATTTTTTAAGTCTCAGCAAAGTAAGGTAAGAAGGGAACACCTTCGCATATATTTTCTCCTATTCTGAAGGTTGTCTGTTCACTCTGTTGATAGTTTCTCTAGTTGTGCAAAGCTCTTAAGTTTAATTAGATCCCCTTTGTCAATTTTTGATTTTGTTGCAATTGCTTTTGTGTCTTTGTCATAAAATCTTTGCCTGTTCCTACGTCCAGAGTGTTATTGCCTAAGTTGTTGATCTAACAAAGGTCCAATATCGAGCATCTATAAGGAAATTAAACAAATTTACAATAAAAGATAAACAACCCCATTAGAAAGTGGGCAAAGGACGTGAAGAGAAACTTTTCAAAAGAAGACTTATATGTGGCCAGCAAACATATGAAGAATAGCTCAGTATCACTGATAATCAGAGAAATGCAAATCAAAACCATAGTGAGATAACATCTCACACTAGCCAGAATGGCTATTATGAAAGAATCAAAAAAAAAAAAAAAAAAAAAAACAGATACTGGTGAGGTTACAGAGAAGAAGGAACACTTTTACACTATTGGTAGGTATGTAAATTAGTTCAAACGTTGTAGAAGACATTGTGACAATTCCTCAAAGACTTAGAGGCAGAAATACCATTTGACCCAGCAATCTCATTATTGGGTATATACCCAAAGGAATATAAATCATCCTATTACAAAGATACATGCATGCATGTGTTCATTGCAGCACTATTCACAATAGCTAAGACATAGAATCAACCTAAATGCTCATCAATGACAGATTGGATAAAGAAAATGTGGTACATATATACCATGAAATACTATACAGCCATAAAAAAGAACAAGATCATGTCTTTTGTGGGAACATGAATGGAACTGGAGGCCATTAACCTTAGCAAACTAACACAGAAGCAGAAAACCAAATACCACATGTTCTCACTTATAAATGAGAGCTAAATAATGAGAAGTCATAGACACAAAAGGGGAACAACAGATACTGGGGCCTACTTGAGGGTGAAGGTTGAGAAGAAGGAGAGGATTAAAAAAATAACTGTTGGGTACTAGGCTTAGTACATGGGTGACAAAATAATCTGTACATCAAAACCCTGTGAAACGAGTTTACCTATATAACAAAATTGCATATGTACCCCTGAACCTAAAATAAAAGTTTTAACAAAAAGTAATAAATAAATGTTTAGCTGGAAAAATATAATAAATTGATAAATGTTGTATCCAAAAAACATGCAATCAAAATTATACTTAATGGATTAGTTCTGGATGCTTCCCTTTAAGATCCAGAACATGGCAAGAAGGATGATAATCATTACTTCAGTCTAGCATAATTGTGGAGACCCTGACCAATTCTACAAAAAATAGAAAGAAGTGAAATGCACTTTTAATTTTTATTAGAAATGGCCAAACTGTATTCCAAAGTGGTTGTATATTTTGCACTCCCGCCAACAATGCATGAGAGTTCTTATTGTTTCACTTCCTCCCGCACTTTGTGTTAGCAGTCTTTTTATCTGTATCCATTCTAACGGGTGTGAAGTGGCACCCCACTGTAGTTTTAATGTGCATTTCCAATATGATTATTAATGTTGGGTACGTTTTCACGAACTTGTTTTCTTTTGTAAAATGTTGAAGTCTCTTGCCCATTTTTAATTAGGTTATTTGCATTTAAAATTTCTAATTTGTAGGAGTTTTTATATTTTAGGAATCTAAATCCTCTGTCGATATGTAGAGAGAACATTTTCTCCCAGTCTGACTCATTTTTTAATTTTCTTCATAGTATTTTTTGATAGAAGACTATAGTTTTAAATCCAATTTACCATTTATTTTATGGTTAGTGCTTTCACGTCTTAGGTAAGAAAAATTTTCCTAAGGGCATGAACATATCTTCCTATTCTTTTCTTCTAGTAGCTTTGTGGTTTTGGTTTCTATGTTTAGGTCTATGATCAGTCTCAAATTATTTTGGGGGAATTGTATAAGATTATTTTCCAGTACCCAATTTCTAATATCTAGTTGATATGTCTCTATTTGTTGAAAAGACAGTTCTTTCCTCATTGAAATATCTTGCAGTATCTTTGTCAAAAAATAATTGTCTATATATGTGTAGGTTGTTCATTCTCATTGTCATATTTCATTTATCCTTTCAAGTATTGATAGCCATTGGGGTAGTTTTCCATTTCAATGGCTACAATGAATAGTGCTAATATGAACACATTCTGATGAACATATGCATGCATTTCCTTTGACACCTAACAGAAAAGATACATCATAAGGAATGCATATAACTTTAGTAGATATTGACAATTTTTAAAAGTATTTGTACCATAGCTTTACCAACTGTTAATCTTTATCATTTTAGCAACACAAGTGAGTGTATATTTAAACATATTCAAGATTTATTTCTGCTTAAGTGTGTCATACATACATCATATTTGATCATTGGTCAAACTCAAAAGAGAAATGTCTATAACATGGTAGATTTTTTACTAAATGGAGCAATGAATGGTGGCCAATGAAGTAATGAACGGATGGTGAATGTGATTGTAGAACACACAAGAATCATATCTTCCGATCTATTAATCAAATCTGAAAGTATTTATCGAGTCTCTGTGAGTGCCCGTACAGAATGGTGCTGATTAATATGCCAGGGCATGTCCCCATCTGTTGTCATCTGCTTCCCAAACCTCCTACACATTTACATGTGTGCACACAATAAGCATTTTGCCCATATTTACACAGTAAACTTTTTAAAATGTAGTAAATACAGTATTTCACAACATACAAAATTTCACATTTTGAATGGAAGACATTTTCCAGAGAATAGGGAGCCTTTGATGTAAGAGAAAGGAAAACAAACAAATAAAAAATCTGTCCTTTGTGATATGGGGCATTAATCATTAATCTTTATCAGCCATAGCTACTCCAGAATAGTGAATACAATTAATCCTTATTCTGCAACGACAAGAAACATCATAGATAAGACCAACATGCAAGGCATTCAGTTGCATGACCGCAGCAAGGACCATTGGGACCTATTTGCTTTTTAAGGTGCCATGCATCCAAGATTTAAATTCTCATTATAAATCTGGTTCTCACAAATCGCAGTCAGTATTTCATAATTCAGAAAATAGATTGTGGTATAAAAGGCAACCCTATGGATTTATCCAATGTATAAATAGATTTTGTTTTTCTTTTCCACTCAATTCTTGTGTCCTTGACCTTTTTCTCTTCTCAGTCTACACTCTCTTTAAGTAACTTCATTTCCTTCAATGGCTTTAGTTAATATCTATATTATCTACAGGAGGATTACGCCTGTAATCCCGGCACTTTGGGAGGCCGAGGCAGGTGGATCACGAGGTCAGGAGATCGAGAGCATCCTGGCTAACATGGTGAAACCCCGTCTCTACTAAAAATGCAAAAAAAATTAGTCAGGTGTGGTGGCAGGCGCCTGTAGTCCCAGCTAGTTGGGAGGCTGAGGCAGGAGAATGGTGAGAACCCGAGAGGCGGAGCTTGCAGTGAGCTGAGGTCGCGCCACTGCACTCCAGCCTAGGCGACAGAGCGAGACTCTGTCTCAAAAAAAAAAAAAAAAATCTCTTAATTACTCATCTCTCCATATCCTCTGTCACATCCACACTCTTGGCACCATCATCTCTTATCTAGAATACTACAATACACACCTGACTGGTCCACCTACTCTTACCAGATCCCTTCTCCACATTTTGGCTAGAGAAATCTCTTTAAGAATGGAACTGATGGCATCTCTCCTCTACTTAAAATCCTTTACTGCATCCTGTTGTTCTTGGAAGCATACTACCTAAACTGAAAGCCCACCTCCACCGCTCAGTAGCCATGTGACTCCGAATAAGTTATTCAACCTTCCTGACCTGTTTTCTTAACTGTAAAATGGGACAGATAATAATATCTATCTCATTAGATTGTTGTGGGAAATAAATAACTTAATAAATATCAAGTGCTCAGAGTGGTGAATCATTTAAAGAAAATATTTTGCAAAGGGTGGGGGTGGATGGGGAGGAAGAAAAGATTCAAGCCAAAATCTTAATCTGGATTGAAAAATCCTGTATGATCTGCTTCCTACCTCTCTGGCTTTGCCTTGCTTCTTCACCTTGCACTATTCTCTTCATTCACAGCCGTGTTGTTTTTTAGCTCCTCAAAAACATCATGCTTTCTATCACTTAACATAGCAGAGTGTTCCCTCTACCTGAAACTCTCTCACCACCCACCAACAATGGCCTAACTCTTATTTAAAATATCTCATCTTCAGTAAAACCTTCCACGCTCACCCCACCCCATCCACACCACACGGGATTTCTCTATCATGTGCTCTGGCTAATGGCATTCATAGAGCTGCCAAAATTTGCTACATTTTATTGTATTGATATAATAAAAGGCTGTCTTCCTGCTGAAGACCTATTAAAAACCCTGAAATCTGTTTTCCTCATAAATAAATACACTAAAATAATACACATCATGTCAAACTACAAAGAGAGGTCTGGATGACAGAAAATATATTCCTCTGTCTCAGCAATTTGAATGGTGACTGAAATTTCTTCATAGGTTTGAGATTCAGGGGGGCTCAGTCTTCTTCTATATACCAAACTGCAACTCGGCAGCATTGCCCAAAACCTGTGTACAAAAGAAGCCAATCAATGTTTGCATTGTTGCTTGGGGCTTGAGGAGGAGTGGAAGGCGAATAACCTGATCAGGGTGGAGGTCTTTCCAGCTGAATATCCCAGGCCCTCATCAATTCCCGATTCTGCCAAAGATCAGGATCTTAGAGCACTGCGTCTCCACAGAGCCCAGATTATCTGTAGCTCCCATATGTTGTAAAACCATATTCCCTCTGCCCCTAAATGATATGAAACTAAATGTTGGTAGAAAATTGCATTAGTACAGCTTTGATCATTCACTGACATCTCTTTCCAGCTAGGTTAGTGGCTGAGTGAGAGAGAAAAGTTTTAAAGCATGAAGAGAGGAACAAACCTGTTAGACTTGATTGGCTATTATCGGTGGAAATTAATCTCAAAATATTCTGTCCCTCAAAAGCTGATTTTTATCATAATGACTTACATGTTTAGCTTTCAAAAATAGATTCCAATTCTTAAAGAACTATGTCCTCTCAAATGGCCAGTTCTATTTACACCTTACTTTATAGCAAATGAATTGGAAAACTAAAAGCAATATTGAATTACAAAGCACTTATTCATGCTACACATTTTAATAAGTTTTTCTTGCCTACAATTCCTCGTTAGTCCCACAGTATTCCTTTTTTAAACAAATGAGAACAGTTCTGTTAAATCGCAGATTTTGTGTGTAATTGGGCCAGGGAAATAAAATTGATAAATTTTTACCTTTTGGAATGGAATTAAAAGCATTGGCAGCTTGACATTACAAAATGAATACCTATCAGGGAATGTGAGCAGCCTCAGCCCAAGTTGAGCTCTGAACATACTGGCATTTGAACCCTGTTATGAAGCCAGGTCACAGCCTGTGGAACAGGACCTAGGCTTTGTTCCAAGACCAGAAGTACAGATTCTCAGAGGAAGCCAAGCTTACATTAGTAAATGCCAGAATGCTTTCCTTCACTATCCAGGAAGGTAAGCCCCGGTTTTGGGTGAGCTTAAACATTTTTTCAGAGGCAGCTCTTCAGTTGAGGCTGGGAGCAGCAGAATGAGGGAGGAAGAAGTAGTGTGTGCTTGCTGTTAACACTCCCTAGGAGTCTGCCTAGAGACCTCTTCTGCTGAGTAGGTTTAAGTCCCCAGAAAGCTCAAGCTTAGTATGTATGCCTTGCTAGGTGAATAATACCTAAAGCCAAAACTTCATGGCTCAACTGAGTACATTCCCAGTGGAATGTAAGCTCCATGAGAGGAGGTACAATGTATATTCAACACTATATTCCCACTGCCTAGAACAGTGTTAAGGATGTAGCAAGCACCCAATATATTCTTATTGGATAATTGTTGGTTTAATCAATACAGAATGTGTGGTATGACACAACAAAGTAGATATTTAGTTTTAATGATCATTTTCCACCAAGAGAAGCTAAAATTACTTCAATAAAATGCAACTATGGTGGTTGTGGAGGTATGCTGTTTTGATCTCCCTTAGAAAAATAATTTGCTTATTTATCTCCAAAGTTTACAGTTCTAAGTATCTTCAGGTTCCACTTCAACTTTTCAGCCAGACCATGTTCTTCCCAAGTAGCACCCAGACAAAGAAAGAACGGGTCTGGCCACTTCTTCAAGTGTGAGACTCCTCTAACAGGCAGTCTTTGCTTTACAGATCATGACTGAATGGTTGAAACCTTATTAGACCTGTCTTGTGGTTTAAAGCTCTCACTGCCCAATCCTGCTTCCACTCCACTTTCCTTTTTAGATGTCATATCTTCATGCAGTCTGAAACCTTTACTATAATTCTCCTGTTTCTCCATTATTATCTTTCACAGTTTATATCTACTAATAAGTCTCTTGTAATCCTAGCTCTGTCTCAACATTTTCTTCCTAAAGGACCCTGCTGAGAGAGAGGAGGCAGAGCCTAGTAGTCTCCCTGAGTTCACATGAAGTTAGGAGTTCAAGGAGACAAGTTGGTTCAAACTTGCAGGGGAGAGTACCAGAGAGGAGAGAGCTGCATAGCCAGATGACTCCAGAAATTTGCAGTCTTTCTTGAGTATTCAGTTAAGCACTGATCAGATAAGCACTGTGTAAGGAACCAACCCAAGTTCAGAAAAGAAAGCACCTAGAAGAATGAGTAGAAATAATCCCTGCAGCTGAAATGGGAACATATACAATTCCCGCTCCTATCAGCCAGAGTGAAAAATCTCTTAATACATGGGTCATTAGGTAGAATAACCCCATAAGGGTTTTGCCTTAGCAGCAGGGTAAAATTTGCCCTAAACTAAATGTGGCTTTTATACTACCTAACAAAGTTTTAATGCAATACCTAAAATGATCAAACTGTTTCCACCTAAACAAACTGCATCACAGAGCAAAGTTCAATGGTATTTATAAGAATATAAGAAGTATCAAACACCTAACAAAGTAAGATTCAGAATGTATGGCATCCACTTAAAAATTATGATGCATGCAAAGAGGCAGGAAAATATAACTTATAATAAGGAGTGAAACAAAGCTGATTTAGAAATTATAGAATGATAACCTTAATAGATAAGAATAATGAAACAGTAATTATATTGCATATGTTTATGAAGCTGGAAGAATGAACAAGACATTAATTTGTTGGCCAGGCACAGTGGCTCACGCCTGTAATCTCAGCACTTTGGGAGGCTGAGGCAGGCAGATCACAAGGTCAGGAGATCGAGATCATCCTGGCTAACATGGTGAAACCCTGTCTGTACTAAAAATACAAAAAATTAGCCAGGCGTGGTGATGGGCGCCTGTAGTCCCAGCTACTCGGGAGGCTGAGGCAGAAGAATGGCGTGAACCTGGGAGGCAGAGGTTACAGTGAGCCGAGGTCGCACCACTGCACTCCAGCCTGGGCGACAGAGGGAGACTCTGCCAGAAAAAAAAAAAAAAAAGACACTAATTTGTTAAAAATGAAAGCAAGAAAAATGATATATCATGCTAACACTCATCAAAATAATAAAGTCTATATTAATATCAGGCAAAATAGGCTTCAAGAAAAAAAATTACCAGGAAAAAAGAGGCTCATTTCGTAATAGCAAAAGGGTTAATACATTAAAAAGGTATAATAATCCTATATATTCATGCACCTATATATTCATGCTGGAAAATGCATGAAGGAAAGTGTATAAAACTACAAAGAGAAACACATTAAACCAAAATTACAGTTACAGGTTTCAACATTCATTTTGCAATAATTGATCTAACGAATAGACAGAAAATTAGTAAAGATATAGAAAGTTTGAGCAACACTATTGGCCAACTAGATCTAACTGACATTTATGGAACACAACACCCAAAACATCAAAATATACTGTCTTTTCAAGTGCACATGGAACAGTTTCAAAAAACAGACTATATTCTGGGCAATAAAACAATCCTCAATATAGTTAAAAGGATTAAAATTATACACAGTAAGTTCTTGAACCACAGTGGAATTAAGTTACAAATCAACAACAGAAAGGTATTTGGGAAATCCCTAAATAATTAGAAATTAACTAACACATTTCTAAATAATCTATGAGTTAAAGATAAAATCAAAAAAGAAGTTATTAGTTGCTTTGAACAAAATGAAAATAACACATTTCAAAAATAATGAATGTCACAAAAGCAGTACTAAAATTTATATCACTAAACATCTATATTAGAAAAAAGAGAATTACCAAATAAATTACCACAGCTTCTACCTTAAGAAATTAGAAAAAGAGGAGAAAATTAAACACAAAATAAGCAGAAGAAAAGAAATAATAAAGATTAGAGTAGAAATCAATGAACAAAAAACAGAAAACAACTGAGAAAATAAATGAAACAAATGGAAGAAAATAGAAATTATCAATATCAGAAATAAGACATGCGACATCACTATGATTTTACTGACATGAAAATAATAAGAATATGTTAATTATTTTATGCCAATGAATTTAACTATTTAAATGAAATGCATACATTTCTTGAAAGACCCAAAATATCAAAGCTCACCCAAAAAGAAATAGATAATTTCAATAGCTCTATATCTTATCAAAGAAGTTGAATTTTTATTTAAAATCTTTTCCACCACACAAAAATCTTCACATTTAGATGGCATCACTGGCAAATTCTATTAAATACTTAACAAAGAAATAGCAATGATTCTACAAATGATTCCAGAATACTAAAGAAAAGGGAATATATTCTTACTCATGCTGTAAAGCAAAAATTATTCTGATACTTAAAGGCATTACAAAACAAGAAAATTATAAACCAATATTGCTCATGAAAGAAAAAACAAAATTTCTTATTAAATTTTAGCAAATTGAATTCACTAGTAAGAAGGATAATATAACATGGTAAGGTGAATTTTGTCCCAGCAATGCAAAGTTGGTTTAACATTTAGAAATAACACATTTCACCAAATTGAGAAGCCAAAGGAGAAAGGCCAAATGATCATCTCATAGAGGCAGATACAGAATGTGACAAAATCTGGCCGGGTGCGGTGGCTCACGCCTGTAATCCCAGCACTTTGGGAGGCCGAGGTGGGCGGATCACGAGGTCAGGAGATCGAGAACATCCTGACTAACACGGTGAAACCCCACCTTTACTAAAAACTACAAAAAATTAGCCGAGCCCACGCTCGGCTGTAGTCCCGCTCAGCGGGCGCCTGTAGTCTCAGCTACTCGGAAGGCTGAGGCGGGAGAATGGCATGAACCCGGGAGGCGGAGCTTGCAGTGAGTCGAGATCGCGCCACTGCATTCTAGCCTGGGCAGCAGAGCGAAAATCTGTCTCAAAAAAAAAAAAAAAAAAAAAAGAATGTGACAAAATCCAATATGCATTTCTGATTAAAAATTTTCAACCAACTAGCAGAGCAGGGAATTTCCTCAACCTGATACATATTTACTTTACCAGTGCATTTTATACTTTCATTTGCTTTTATGTTACTAATTAGCATTCTTTTATTTGAACTTAAACAACAATATTTTGTAAGGCAGGTCTAGTGGTGATGAATTCCCTCAGTTTCTGTTTGTATGGAGAAGTGTTTATCTCTCCTTCATTTCTGATGGACAGCTTTTCCAGGTACAGTATTTTTGGATGGATGTCTTTTTCCTTTCTGCACTTCCTATATACCATCCCACTCTCTTCCGGCCTGCTTTCTGCTGAAAAATCTACTGATAGCCTTGTAGGCATTTCTTATATGACAAGTTGCTTTTTTCTTGCTGCTTTCAAAATGATTTTTCTTTGACTTTTGGTAGTTTGATATAATATGTCTCTGTGTAATCTTTTTGGGTAGATTCTGCTTCAGGACCTTTGAACTTCATGAACCTAGATGCTCATATCTTTCCCAGGATTTGGGAAGTTTTCAGCCATTTTTTTTTTAAATAAGCTTTGTGTCCCTTCCTTCCTTCTTCTTCTAGGATTCTCATATACATATATAATTTTGCTTGATGATTTCCTATGAATCTCATAGGATTTTGTCTTTGTTCATTTTGCATTGCTATAACATAATTCCTGAGACTGGATAATTTATAATGAACAGAAGTTTATTTGGCTCACAGTACTGGAGGCTGGGAAGTCCAAGATTGAGGGGCTACATCTTGTGAGGGCCTTCTTGCTGTGTCATAACATAGTAAAAGGCATCACATGAGCAAGAGAGAGTGAAATACTTAATTTACAGCCTCAATATTTTTTATTATCAGCACTAATCTATTCATGAGGGTGAATCTAATGACCTCATGAAGTAAATACCTCTCCTTAGGTCCCATCTCCCAACATTTTTGTATTAGGGATTAAGTTTCCAACACATGATTTTTGGCGGCTGCAGTAAAACCATAGTAGTTTTCTTCATTCTTTTTAATTCTTTTTTCTTTCTTCTCATCTGACTAGATACTTTCAAATAACCTGTCATCCAGTTCAGAGATTCTTCTGTTTGGTCAAGTCTGCCGTTGAAGATCTACTGAAGTTTGCATTTTATTCATTGTATTCTTTAACTCCAAAATTTTTATTTGGTTCTTCTTTATGACTTCTACTTCTTTGTTGAATTCTTGTCTGGCTCAGTTATTGTTTTCCTAATTTTATTTATTTGTCTGCCCATGTTTCCTTGTAGCTCAGTAAACTAACTTAAAACAACTGTGTTGAAATTTTTTCAGGATATTTGTAGGTCTCCATTTCTTTGGGGTTGGTTACTAAAAACTTGTGTTCCTTTGATAAAGGTGTCATATATCTTTGATTTTTCATGTTCTTTGAATTCTTGCACTACTATCTTCACTTTTGAAGAAACGATCACCTCCAGTCTTTACTGGCTGGCTTTGGGAGTGAAACACCAGTCTGACTGATTAGGAATTCTGGGAATCTCACAGACCTTATCTATGGATGCACCCGCTCCATTTCTTTTATTGCTTCTTAGTTGGGGAAAGGGGAATCTTAGTATTGTATGCCTTCTCTTGATCTTGAAATGCCAGGCTGGGCACTAATGGTCCCCCATTTATTTTCCCCAGAGAAGTCCCTTGAAGTCATTAAGGTTAAGGGCTTTCTCTCAAACTAGCAGAGTTGAGCCAGCTGTCAGCATGTGCCTGTGCATGATCTGCAGAAGTCTGCACACATCATCTGTAGGAATGGATGTAGGGCCCCAGTCACAGTGAGGGCAAGGTGGGGGTGCGGGCACATGGAGTGCTGAGGGAACATGTGAGCTAGTTGAAAGTGTCTACAGATGATGTGTCCTGTGAAGTTAGAGAGCTTGCCTCTTGGTAGTGTTCATGAGGTAGTTACTAGAAACCACGGCTCTTTGTTGAGTTTCTCGCCCCAGTTGCTATGAAAACCCCCATTTTCCCTGCTCCTAGCTGCCTCCAGACTATTTAACCAAGCCAAATTCCTCCATGTTCAGGATGAGGTGAGAAAGATGCCTCTTGGGCAGTGTCCCTCATGGTCATAGAAATCCAGCATTCACTGTGCTTTCACTCTCCTCCATAGAAGAAATTGCAGGCTTGAGGGGTCTCTCTTGGCAATGAGCTGTGCCAGGTTGGGGGAAGTGTGATACAGGTAATGTGAAACTGTTCTTCTAACCTTCTTCAATGCATTTATTCTTGGGTTTTTGCTTCAAAGAGGTGCTGGATTTTCTTCACTGGACTCTCAGACTCACAAAAAGTTACTCTCATCTGTGAGTGGTTTTTACAATCAATGTTTCTATAAGAAGATGAGGGTTGAATACTCTTACTCTGCCATTTTGTTTGTGTCACCCTTCCTGTTAAAATGTTAAGCATATACCTACCAAATGGCCAGATAATTCCACTCCTGGTTATTTACTGAAGAGCAGTAAAGTCAGATGCTTTCACAAACACTTGTACTTAAGTGTTCATATCAGCGTTACTTGTAATACCCCCAAAACTGAAAACAACCTATATCAGCAACTTAATGAACAAATTGTGATATCTTATTACAGTGTAATACTACTCAGCAATAAAAATAACTCAGCAATAATCTATAGTGACAGAAAGCAGATCACTGCCTGCCTGGAGTTGTGGGGTATGAATGGAAACAAGGAAGCAGAAAGAGGCAGAAGGAAGATATTACAAAGAAACAGGAGGAAACTTTGGGTGTGGTGGATATATTTATTATCTTAATTGAGATTATGGTTTCACAGGTGTTTACATAAGTCAAACTTTAACAAATTTTATAATGTAAGTATGTACAGTTATAAATTGTATCTCAATTGTACCTGAAATTTTTTTTAAAAAGGAAGTATGTCGTTGTGAGTATTGATTATCCACACTCATCAGAGAAAGGCATAGTACTTTTTCAAACATAGCTTAACACTAAGCTTATCACTTTCTAACTGAAAATTGATTTGGTGATGTATAGATTAGATTCACTTAGTGTTAGACCCTTGCTGCATAAAAAGTAAAGGGCATTCAATATTGGTTTAAAAACATAATTTTATTCCCAAATTTAAAATGCCCAGAGGTGGGCAGCACAGGGCTCTATAGCAGTTCCACAAAGTTGTCAGGGACCAAGGATTCTATAACTTTTATTCCACCATGTGTTAAGGTAACTTTTTAAGAACCAGCCATCATAAAGTCATTCCAGCTGGGCGCAGTGGCTCACGCCTGTAATCCTAGCACTTTGGAAGGCAGAGGTGGGCGGATCACAAGGTCAGGAGATCAAGACCATCTTGGCTAATGCGGTGAAACCCCATCTCTGCTAAAAATACAAAAATTAGCCGGGCATAGTGATGGGCCCCTGTAGTCCCAGCTACTTGGGAGGCTGAGGCAGGAGAATGGCGTGCACCCAGGAGGCAGAGCTTGCAGTGAGCCGAGATTGCGCCACTGCACTCCAGCCTGGGCGACAGAGCAAGACTCCACCTAAAAAAAAAAAAAAAAAAAAAAAAAAAAAGGCATTCCAGCAGCAGGAAAGAGAAAAGAACATAGATGAGCCTGCTTCTCTCTTTCAGGACATTTCCCAGAAGTCACACGTGATACTTTTACCTACATCTCATTAGCCCAAACTGAGTCATATGGCCTTACCTAGTGCAAGGAGGCTAAGAAATATTGTCTTAACCCTAGGTGGCCATACAGCCAGCTGAAATGCCAGTACTAAGAAAAAGAGGGAGAACAGATATAAAGGGGCAACTAACAGGCTCAGGTTTCCAGGTAAATAACTGAAATAAATAACAGAGTGTGAAATATCCCAGTCCTGAAAAAGGAACATTTTAATTCTAAAAATAAAAGGTAACTTACACATGTGGCTCTTGTCCACTTACTCTTAATCTCCAATATTCATAAGCAACAATGGCAAGCAATTAGCAGGGGACAGGGTGGGAGTGATAAAAGTATTGAATGTTTTTCAGCAGTAACTTCAGTCTAATTTTATCCTATGTGGATGTCCCTCGACTTCAAAGACTGGTATCAAGAGGAAATGAATGGTTCGCTATGCCTTATAACAGACTGCCATAGGATAATTTGGCGGTTCTTGTTAGTGGAAATGATTCGTAAATCACACATTTTCCCCATTGCATCAATCAAGGATACTCATGACATGGGACAAGCCATATTAAATAGAGGTACAGACCAGCCATATATTTTTCTGAAAGGGCGTTTTTGTAAACTTCAATGGGCCCCTTTTGACATCCATCCTTCCCTTCATCTCTGCCAGGGCAGAGTTAATATATCACCACAAAGGCACTAAGCTCCCCCAAAGAATTGTAGTTTTCAGATTTAGGAGGGTGTTTTGGGGTCACTTTTTTTTTCTTTTTTTTTTAAATTATACTTTAAGTTTTAGGGTACACGTGCACAATGTGCAGGTTTGTTACATATATATATGTGCCATGTTGGTGTGATGCACCTATTAACTCATCATTTAACATTAGGTATATCTCCTAATGCTATCCCTCCCCCCTCCCACCACCCCAGAACAGGCCCCGAATAGGAGGGCGTTTTGGCTTGCTTTCGTTACATTGATGGTTCCAACTCTGTTGCTTTCTGGGGAACACAGGGTGGAATGCTGTGAATACACGGATAATGTCATTGCTGCCGCACACAAAAAGCTTAGGGAGACAGACGTGTGAACAATGAACTGAGGTAAGAGTTGGGAGGCAGAGGTACCAGTACAATTCCCATCCTTCTAACCCTTGCCCCTTGGGAAGAGGAACCTCTCTTTCTAGTGATCAGAGATTATGATCACTAGATATGATTATGAAAACTCAATATTCCTAAATTGCCTGAATTTCTAAATTCTCTGGTTAAAAATAGGGAGGAGGAGAAATGAGCATAAGAAGAGACCACAATATACTCAACTGTGGCAACATCTTCCTAAAGTTGTTCACTGTCCTTCAATCCTTCTTACACAATCCATCAGTTCCATCCATTTACTTGTTCATTAATTTGAGGAAGGATTGAGTGCCTATAGAATGCCAACCAGGGCCTCTCAGAAGTTGAGAGATACTTGGATTACTTTCATTTTTTGAGGACTCTGGGGATATTAAAAAATGAAGAATGGGACATCCAGAATGATAAAGTACAAAGATGAGGGGGCTCATTCTCAGCAAGACAGTTTAACTGTTGAAAAATATATATAGTTCAATCTTTTAGAGGTTCTAGAAAATGTCCTAAGGGCATACGGTAAATGCAGAAACATTCATACAAGAAAATCTACTTTATCTCAGTAAGAACAGTGAGTCTGTGACATTTGAGCCAAGACTCACTTCATTTCCACTCACAAGCAGTTCCATGTTCTAAAAGAGCTTCTCCTTGTTTATGTAGCCAAGAAGATGGGGGAAACAGGGGTGGGGACAGAGTTCTTTCCCTCAGCTCCCAGTAGTCTGTGGCCATGATTTTAGCCTGGAAGGAGAAGGCTGCTAGTGTTTTTCTTCACCGTGATCCCCGTGTTGTAGTTTTATTCCAGTCCAACAGGATGGGGTATCTCCTCCCTCATCCAGCCCCAGCTTGTAGGACAGATGCTCTAGTCCAGTCATGACACACAGAGAATGCTGGGCCCCATCACCCACACTCGCATTCATCTGTAAAACAGAGCTTCCATGTGGGGGTGGTGCAAGCTGTGAAGAGCAGGGGCTACCCTCCTTCCCAGTACCCAGTCAAAGAGCAGAGTGTCACTCTGGGAAGGCAGAACTCTGCTCCCAGGGGGAAAGGAATGCCCTAAGAATAAAAACCTCTGCAGCTCTGCCTGACTTGGCTGACTTATTCATAACAAAAAGTGGAAAGCTCCATGCCTAAAGGCACTGTCAGAAGCAATGGAGAACTTGGTGAAGAGCAATTATGGTAGCTCCAGGATACAAACAAAATGGCAGAGTGGCCAGTTTAATGGAGAGAGCTGGATGAAGAGAAAGCCAGGAGAGCACTGCTGGGTGCTAACTCTTGGTGTCAGAAAGGCAGTGCATATGTGCTGGGCTGCTCCTACTCAAGAGGAGTCACGGCAGGTGGGACAGACCGGAAAGACATCCCAAGCCACACATAGACCCACCAACACTGGGTGGAATTCTCTTTGGCATAAGGAGCTTATGCACAACTTCTGACTAAATAGTGATCAAACAATAAGTTACCTTGCCTGGGGCAACTCTTAGGAAGCCAGGCTTAAAAATAACAGCACAGTCATTCTTGGCAGGTCTGGAAGACTGTGTGCATTTCCAAGTTGTGCCCTCTCAAGGCAATCAGAAGGGGAATCTCCAAGCTACTATCTCCAGGCTAGCCACGGGTGCAAAACAAACAAACAAAACCAACATAAATCCCCTGAATTGTATACCAGCAAGACACACACACCAGGAAAGGTTAAAAACTCACCTAGTCAAAGGGACTTACACACAACCTTTGACAAATAAAAGGCTCATGCTGGGCCCTGGGTACAATAAAAGATAAAAATAAATAAAATAAAATAAAATAAAATTAAACTAAATTAAATTAAATTAAATTAAAAGACAAAAGATAAAAACAAGGGGAAAAAAATCTGATCGGGAACATTAGAGGGCAAGCACTGTAGGGGAAATAGACTTCAGCCAAGTCATAAACAAATAAACAAATGACCAAGCAAACAACACCCTTATGGGAAGAGAAAATCAGTATCCAGAGCCACTACAGTGTTACCTAAAATATCCCTTTAGGAAAATCTCTGATGGTTGTGGAAGGGACAGACTGTAAGCAACACAAGACTGGAAGCAAGGTGACCAACTGCTTCTATTTCTAATTTAGGGAAAAAATGTTTATGATCCGAATAAAGGCAAAGTCTGTGGGTGGGGAAAAAGGAACGGATTCTAAAAATTTAAAGGCGATTGTTTTGATCAACAGGATAATGGGAATGGAGAGGTTAGTTAAGAAAGAAAAGGTACTAAGAATGAATCCCAGATATCTGTCAAGTGGATCCACTTGTCTGCTATAATTGCTCTTTACAAATGGGGAGGTAGTTAATGCATTTAGAATATGTTCAGTTCTATACATTTCTGGGGCCTTCCAGTGAAAAATGGAAGTTGTACACAAGCTTCTAAAATCATGGGTTTCAGACTGTATATTTGGTAGTTATGAGGATATAGGTGTTAGTGGAAGATATGTGCCTGGATCACACAAGAAGAATGTTTAGACGAGAAGAAAAAAAGCACATTTCTATCTTAAGCAACTGAAGAAGAACATAGAAGGAGGGGCAAATGTTTGGGCAAAAATGATGAGCTCTGTCCTAATTGAGTATGAAAAAGAATGTGGGAGATTGAGGAGGAGCTACCAGTCTACCAGACAGACTGGTCTGGATGTGGGCACACTGATGATAAACAAGTGAGGAGGCAGATGGGGTCCAGGAAACAGATTGGTGACTTCTATGATCAACCTTGCCTACACAAGAAAAGTCATTCAGGATCTCTGACCCTCCCTTTCCTCATATGACAAAGGAAGGTGCTAAATGAATGATCTTTACATTTCTATTCAGTTGTATAATTCTAATTCTCAAATTTAGTCTGCCATTCCTGACCCTGGTACTGCCAAATTGTGATACAACTCATCTCCTAGCCTTTGTTTATTATAATGTTTCTTGAACCTAAACTATGAAATACCAACCTCTTCCCTGTTTTGTATCATTTACAATATTTTTAGTTCCAAGTACAGAAATCCCAGTTTGAATGGGCCTAAATAGTTAAGTAAATTTATCTACTTATTTAACCAAAAGATGTTAAAGTATTTCAAGTTTCATATGTGTATTAGATGAGTACTAAGGTTCATTTTTCTGCCTTTCTTTCTACTGTCTATCAGCTTTGTCCTTAGGCTTGCTTCCCAGTTAGGTGTAGCATCTATATCTTCCTGCTTTACAGCAGTACATTAGAGTAACTAGCATCTAAAGGTAATGCAGGATAAATGTCCTGAAATTCCAAAAAATGTCTGAGATTTATGCAAATTCAACTGATATCTGTGGTCCAGCAAAATGATTTTAGTCTGGGTTACCTGAATTAATTAAAAAGGGAACAGGGTTACACTAAGTTGGCCCAATAAGAGCATATTGAGAGATCAAGGATAGGATCAATCCCCTTCAAACTCCACTGTTATCACCCGAATAGAAGGTGTATGGGATGAATATAGAGGAGACAATCACAGCATCTCCTAAGTAGAAACAGAAATCTCCAGTTATCAAAATCTTATGTGTGCTTCAATCTTTCAGATGCCACCTCCTTTCATGGAGTCCTTTCTCATTCACAAAGATGTAATGTTTCCCACCTGTGTTCCATATTCTTCATGCTGCAACTATCTTTAGAATCTAATTTGTCTTCTAGACTAAGCTTCTTCAGGACAAAAAAAATATGTCCTATTTACCTCTGAATTTTTCATTTCTCCAGCACAGTCTAGCTTTAGCGTGGCTTAAAAATGTTTATTGAACTAAATATAGGTAATACATTTTGGATAGTTGAGGAATGCAGCCTCTTTTTTCTTCTGACAGTTCTTAGGAGATAGAAATCACTCCTAGCTTGTATAGAGAAATATCAGAACTACAAAAAGAATAAAGTAGATCTTTGAGCAATACTTCTCAACATTTAAAATATTTTAACAACCATTAGTTCTCCCCACCTTTTATGACTCCTTAAGGTAGTGAGTAACAAAATTTTGAATTTCAAACACTTTAATATGAGTACTTACTTTTTCCTTCCCTATTGGGAGCACTGAACCCAGGGAAAGAGAGCCTGAAACATAAGTGCTCTGTCATTTCTGCCTCCAAGAAAGGGGGAAAGGGAATAGGTTTTCGGTTACTAATGATCTCAGCTCTAGTTTTAATGGAGCATGAAGGTCTACTCTAAAGAAAAGATAAAAGGTTTTCAGAGACAAAATAAAGAAGACTTTGGGGGAGGGTATTAGTGTGAGCGGAAGGAAGGGAGAATCCTGGGAAGACAGGGAAATAAGGCCAAGCAAAGGTGTTGTCAGACCTGTGATGGTTAATTTTAGGTGTCAACTTGACTGCATAGAGGCATGCTTAGATGGCTGGTGAAGTATTGTTTCTTTGTGTGTCTGTGAGGGTGTTTTTAGAGGAGACTGGTGTGTGAGTCAGTGAACTGAGTGAGGAAGATCCACCTTCAATGTGGGTGAACACCATTCAATGAGCTGGGGGCCCCAATAGAACAAAAAGGCAGAAAAGCAAATTCCCTCTCTTTCTCTTTCTCTGTCTATAGCTCTCTCTTCTTTCTTCTGGAGTGAGATGCCCTTCTCTTGTCCTTGGACATAAAACCTCCATGTTCTTCATCAGCCTTTGGACTTCAGGATTTGTACTAGTGGCCTCCCAGGGCTCTTGGCCTTCAGCCTTAAACTGAGAGTTACACCATGGAGTTCATGGAGTTCGTTGGTTCTCCAGACTTCTGACTTGGGCTGAGCTATGCTATTGGCTTCTCTGGTTCTTAAGCTTGCAGATAGCCTGTCGTGGCACTTAGAATTCAGACTCCCTTATCGCGTGAGCCAATTCTTTTAATAAATCCTCTCTCATTCATACATATATGTAATCCCCCCTCATTCAAATTATATATATAAATTCCCTTCTCATTCATATATATATATATATATATATATATGTAATCCCCTCTCATTCACATATATAAATGTGTATATGTATATATGTGTGTGTGTGTATATATATAATCTAACTGACAGAATCAATATACATCATATACACACACACACACACACACACACACGCATCCAATTGATTCTGTCTTTCTGGAGAACCCTGATGAATACAAGGTCTTATATCTGTACCAACTCCTCCCTGCCTGGTATTGAGCACAACAGTGGGCACTGTCTAGGAAGTGCTGGTGAGCAGCACCAAAAGCCATGTCCCATCCAATCCTGAGCACTCAACCACAAAGCCTTCACACAAGCACCTTCTTAGAACCACCCACAGGCCTCAAGACAATTGGTTGTCCACTGTGCACTTGTGCCCATCTGCACTAGTGCATCAGCAACTTACCACTCAGAGGGAGCAATGTCTCACCCACCCACAAGTCCTAGATCCGTTCTTCATCTATTAAATATCATGGCACATCCTTAAAATGCCCTCAAACAGCTATGAGACCAAAGAGAACATCCAAGAACAACCAATATCTGCTCTTCAGAGACTGAAGAAAACAAGTTGAAGACCCATCTGAAACTGGAGTTAGTTATCACTAACATAACACTAATTTTAAAACACCAAACTGAATATTATCATATTTGTTTTCAGAATTTTTGAGAGACACATACTCTGAAAAAACTGGAGATCATCTGAAGTAGTGTAAAACTAGAAATTGTGGGTTAGCCAACATCAGCCCAGAGATCGTCCTGTAAATATAAAGCCATAATTTAGGATTATACTTTAAGATCAATAGAAACTAGGTATGTCAAAGTAACTTACCTAAATATTTAGGAAAATTTGAAATGGTATTCTCTTGAGATCTTGTTGTGAGCTGCACAAGGTCAGACATAAACTAGATCCGTGCACGTTTGTGTCCTTCCACAAGGTCAGACTTTTACTTATGCTATTTCAATCATAATAGCCAAAAGCTACATGGAGTTCCCAAGACGGCAATTCTCCTTTGTACTATCTATTCAATTTGCAGTCAGAGCTGTGGGTACACAGGCTGAAGCCACTCCACAGGTCAGTCAATACCGCAAACCATATATAGTAGTTTACCTAAGCAACATATAAATATTTAGCTTAAACATTCCATATCAAAGTAACATTTAACATCAAGAGGAAACGGGCTAACAAACCAGTCCGAGGAGGGTGATGTGGACAAGGAGAGAGTCTCGGGCTAAGCTGGAAGGTCATCAGCATCTTGCAAGGAAGTGTCCTTGATTTGGACAGAGCCTTTGGCAGCAGATGCCAGGTGCTAATCATGAGGGACAGTAAGATGGTCTCTATGGAGATGGCCACGTCCACCTGGTGAAGACCTGTTCACTTTATGGCCCTTGAATCCTCTGATAAGGAGAGATAGTAAGGGGCTACACTCTTACCTGGTTACGTATTTTCTCTATTGATTAGGTGAACATCTGGACTCTGCTGGCTTGATGCCTTTGAAATGTAAGATGGAGTCTTTTCCTAAGACAGAGTCACTTATGTCAGGGGTGCTCTATACAGATCTATCTCTTCTTCATTTAAAGACCAAGTGATAGCAATGACCAGCCTAAATATAAAGACACAGTGATGACAGGGAATCAGAGAATATCAGAGCAGGGCAGCTCCTCAAAGACTTGGCTCTTCAGCCTCCCAAATCTGTTCAACTATTTGGTGGCAGCATGAGAGCAGAACCCAGCTGTGCTGAGTCCTGGCCCTGTGAGCATTCCCCCACATTGACTATCTTCCCTCAGGGTAAAAATTTGTCTTCTGCTCCCCTTCCACTGTCCATCTCCTATTATGGGTCCTTACCCACTATAAACTCATTCCCCACTGTAAACTCCAAAGAAGCTCAGAAACTAATTGCACTATAGGGTAAATTAGCCATTTAAAAGTGGCACAGCTCCCCAGGTTATCGGCATTATAAAAGTCAAGGCTTTGAGGCAATAATCTATCTCTCAGGGTGGATTTTAGGATTTATGGCTCTAGGTTCAGGAATATTTTGTCTTTTTGGCTTGTGTTTCTTTCTAAATCCCCCAAATCACAAAGAGACAACTTAACCATTCAATCTAAACCTGGGACCCAAAGGCTGACTTCTTTCCCAGGGATGAGAGATTTTCACTAACATACCCTTTGTAATCTTTCTACCACTCAGGGTCCAAAGGAGGTAATGCTTCTACTTTTGAGAGATAAGTTAGCTACCAGACGAACTAGGGGTACAATGAGGAACTTTGAGATGTATGAAACTGACTGGCCTTTGGAGTTTCAGCCAATAAAATGCAGTTTTAAACTGTTGAAAAATTATCATATTCTTTTATTTTAATCAGTCCTCAAATGAAATCTTTTGCCAAACTTCTGAAAAGTAAGAAAGTTAACAAATACTGAATCTATTTCTTTTTCCTAATCTTTCTTCTGCCATACAAGTGCTAATAAGCAACAAAATAAGCCCCCCAAAGAAGAAGAATTACAATAGCTTGTTTCCTCCACTGATTACATCCTATAGCCAAGCATTGATTTAGGTCCTTGACTTGTAGTACCTCAGGTAATCCTCATGAAAACTCTCTAAGTTATATGCTATTATTATCCCCAAGTTAAGCGACTTAAGGTTTTATAGTTAGTGAGCGGGAAGAGCTGTAAACTGGGGTGCACAGCACCCTTACAAACTACACTACTGCTCCTTATCAGAGAAAGTCCAAAGCCTTCTGATACCACATAGGAAAAGATCATTTGATTAAGTGATGAATGATATGAAAACTGACTGCAGTCTTATAGATTTCAAAGTATTTATAATAGCAATATAATTTAATAGATAGAAATATAGGACAAATAAAAAAGATTATCTTAAGATAATCTTGGGCTGGGCACGGTGGCTCACGCCTATAATCCCAGCACTTTGGGAGGCCGAGGCGGGTGGATCACGAGGTCAGGAGATCGAGACCATCCTGGCTAACGTGGTGAAACCACGTCTCCACTAAAAATACAAAAAATTAGCTGGGCGTGGTGACGGGCGCCTGTAGTCCCAGCTACTTGGGAGGCTGAGGCAGGAGAATGGCATGAACCCAGGAGGCAGAGCTTGTAGTGAGCCGAGATTGTGCCACTGCACTCCAGCCTGGGCAACATAGAGAGACTCCATCTCAAAAAAAAAAAAAAAAAAAGATAATCTTGATAGATTCAGTAAGCATGTGATATATTATCTGAGTCCCTGTTGGATCATCTATATAATGGTGATAGTACCTAATATCTTAGCTTTTATACAAGGCAATATACATGAAACTTCTCCATAAACTGTAAAACCTCATCCAAATGTCAGAATTATTTGTATACAGATGCATGTTTGAGCTGCAAAATACAAACTGTGTAATTTTAGTAATGCTACATACAAGTTAAAGGCTATTTAAAACTGCATTGCACAACAAAAAGATAAATTATAAAATGTATGCTAATAATTTAAAATTTAAGTTTTTTACTTATAATTCATATAAATATATATATTTAGCATATATTTTATATATTACATTTATTATGCTGATAGAAGAAACCTTTGTAAGATAAGTTTGTTTTAAATCCAATTACAGTTTGTTGCTTTATTAGTGCTATATCTAGCACCTGGTTTCCACTCTATGAATTTTGATTAAATAATGACTGTAATGACCAGGTCCTGTGTCCCGCCAAGCATCAACCTAGAAAATGCAACTTCAGCTCTCATAGAGTATACTGCTTTCCTCAAGGTCAGACATAAGTTAACTGTAAGTAATGTTAGCTATGAGAATAGATATACAAATAATAAAGAAGTCAGTCACCCACAGTGCCTTAGTGTTGATATTTTAAAATAGTTGTAAGAGTAGGTTTGGTTGTACCCTCAATAATTATTTCCATAATTATATGTATTCTAA
The DNA here is from genome assembly GCF_000001405.40 of Homo sapiens. Lineage (NCBI taxonomy): Eukaryota > Metazoa > Chordata > Mammalia > Primates > Hominidae > Homo > Homo sapiens. Next base: position 113,932,817 of record NC_000005.10, on the reverse strand, counting down.
AGTGAAAAAACATTTAAGAGAAATTGACCTCTGGGACTTGTAATTTTATTGAAGTGTTTAGGCAATTTTTGACTAATTTTATGATCAGTATTCAAGGTCTAAGGCAATATGATTTATAAAGTTAGTGAGTGTACACCTATTACAAAATTGACCACAGAGTTGGAAATAAAGCACTCCTCAGCAAATGTAAAAGAATAGAAATTATAACAAACTGTCTCTCAGACCACAATGCAATCAAACTAGAACTCAGGATTAAGAAACTCACTCAAAACCGCTCAACTACATGGAAACTGAACAACCTGCTCCTGAATGACTATTGGGTACATAACGAAATGAAGGCAGAAATAAAGATGTTCTTTGAAACCAATGAGAACAAAGACACAACATACCAGAATCTCTGGGACACATTCAAAGCAGTGTGTAGAGGGAAATTTATAGCACTAAATGCCCACAAGAGAAAGCAGGAAAGATCTAAAATTGACACCCTAACATCACAATTAAAAGAACTAAAGAAGCAAGAGCAAACACATTCAAAAGCTAGCAGAAGGGAAGATATAACTAACATCAGAGCAGAACTGAAGGAAATAGAGAAACAAAAAACCCTTCAAAAAATCAATGAATCCAGGAGCTGGTTTTTTGAAAAGATCAGCAAAATTGATAGACTGCTAGCAAGACTAATAAAGAAGACAGAAGAATCAAATAGATGCAATAAAAAATGATAAAGGGGATATCATCACCGATCCCGAAGAAATACAAACTACCATCAGAGAATACTATAAACACCTCTACGCAAATAAACTAGAAAATCTAGAAGAAATTGACAAATTCCTTGAGATATACACACTCCCAAGACTAAACCAGGAAGAAGTTGAATCTCTGAATAGACCAATAACAGGCTCTAAAACTGAGGCAATAATTAATAGCTTACCAACCAAAAAAAGTCCAGGACTAGATGGATTCATAGCCGAATTCTACCAGAGGTACAAGGAGGAGCTGGTAACATTCCTTCCGAAACTATTCCAATCAATAGAAAAAGAGGGAATCCTCCCTAACGCATTTTATGAGGCCAGCATCATCCTGATACCAAAGCCTGGCAGAGACACAACAAAAAAAGAGAATTTTAGACGAATATCCTTGATGAACATTGATGCAAAAATCCTCAATAAAATACTGGCAAACCGAATCCAGCAACACATCAAAAAGCTTATCCACCATGACCAAGTGGGCTTCATCTCTGGGATGCAAGGCTGATTCAACATACGAAAATCAATAAATGTAATCCAGCATATAAACAGAACCAAAGACAAAAACCACATGATTATCTCAATAGATGCAGAAAAGGCCTTTGACAAAATTCAACAACCCTTCATGCTAAAAACTCTCAATAAACTAGGTATTGATGGGATGTATCTCAAAATAATAAGAGCTATCTATGACAAACCCACAGCCAATATCATACTGAATGGACAAAAACTGGAAGCATTCCCTTTGAAAACTGGCACAAGACAGGGATGCCCTCTCTCACCACTCCTTTTCAACATAGTGTTGGAAGTTCTGGCCAGGGCAATCAGGCAGGAGAAGGAAATAAAGGGTATTCAATTAGGAAAAGAGGAAGTCAAATTGTCCCTGTTTGCAGATGACATGATTGTATATTTAGAAAACCCCATCATCTCAGCCCAAAATCTCCTTAAGCTGATAAGCAACTTCAGCAGTCTCAGGATACAAAATGAATGTGCAAAAATCACAAGCATTCTTATATACCAATAACAGACAAACAGAGAGCCAAATCATGAGTGAACTCCCATTCACAGTTGCTTCAAAGAGAATAAAATACCTAGGAATCCAACTTACAAGGGATGTGAAGGACCTCTTCAAGGAGAAATACAAACCACTGCTCAATGAATTAAAAGAGGATACAAACAAATGGAAGAACATTCCATGCTCATGGGTAGGAAGAATCAATATCGTGAAAATGGCCATACTGCCCAAGGTAATTTATAGATTCAATGCCATCCCCATCAAGCTACCAATGACTTTCTTCACAGAATTGGAAAAAACTACTTTAAACTTCATATGGAACCAAAAAAGAGCCTGCATTGCCAATTCAATCCTAAGCCAAAAGAACAAAGCTGGAGGCATCACGCTACCTGACTTCAAACTATACTACAAGGCTACAGTAACCAAAACAGCATGGTACTGGTACCAAAACACAGATATAGACCAAGGGAACAGAACAGAGCCCTCAGAAATAATGCCGCATATCTACAACTATCTGATCTTTGAGAAACCTGAGAAAAACAAGCAATGGGGAAAGGATTCCCTATTTAATAAACGGTGCTGGGAAAACTGGCTAGCCATATGTAGAAAGCTGAAACTGGATCCCTTCCTTACACCTTATACAAAACTTAATTCAAGATGGATTAAAGACTTAAATGTTAGACCTAAAACCATAAAAACCCTAGAAGAAAACCTAGGCAATACCATTCAGGACATAGGCATGGGCAAGGGCTTCATGTCTAAAACACCAAAAGCAATGGCAACAAAAGCCAAAATTGACAAATGGGATCTAATTAAACTAAAGAGCTTCTGCACAGCAAAAGAAACTACCATCAGAGTGAACAGGCAACCTACAGAATGGGAGAAAATTTTTGCAACCTACTCATCTGACAAAGGGCTAATATCCAGAATCTACAATGAACTCAAACAAATTTGCAAGAAAAAAACAAACAACCCCATCAAAAAGTGGGTGAAGGATATGAACAGACACTTCTCAAAAGACATTTATGCAGCCAAAAAACACATGAAAAAATGCTCATCATCACTGGCCATCAGACAAATGCAAATCAAAACCACAATGAGATACCATCTCACACCAGTTAGAATGGCAATCATTAAAAAGTCAGGAAACAATAGGTGCTGGAGAGGATGTGGAGAAATAGGAACACTTTTACACTTTTGGTGGGACTGTAAACTAGTTCAACCATTGTGGAAGTCGGTGTGGTGATTCCTCAGCGTTCTAGGACTAGAAATACCATTTGACCTAGCCATCCCATTACTGGGTATATACCCAAAGGATTATAAATCATGCTGCTATAAAGACACATGCACACATATGTTTATGGCGGCACTATTCACAATAGCAAAGACTTGGAACCAACCCAAATGTCCAACAATGATAGACTGGATTAAGAAAATGTGGCACATATACACCATGGAATACTATGCAGCCATAAAAAATGATGAGTTCATGTCCTTTGTAGGGACATGGATGAAGCTGGAAACTATCATTCTCAGTAAACTATTGCAAGGACAAAAAACCAAACACCGCATGTTCTCACTCATAGGTGGGAATTGAACAATGAGAACACATGGACACAGGAAGGGGAACATCATACACCGGGGAATGTTGGGGGGTGGAGGGAGGGGGGAGGGATAACATTAGGAGATATACCTAATGTTAAATGACGAGTTAATGGATGCAGCATACCAACATGGCACATATATGCATATGTAACAAACCTGCACATTGTGCACATGTACCCTAAAACTTAAAGTATAATAATAAAAAATAAACAAATAAAATAAATAAAGTTAGGGAGTGTAAATGGATTAGAGTTTAAATATTGTTTAAATATTAAGAAAAATATTTTTAATAAACTTAGTGATAGCAACTATTCCTGTCCATGCATAAAATTCTGTCAGATGTTAAACATACTAATGGCTTATAAGGAAAAATTGAAAACTGAATAACTTTTGGGTTGCTATAATAATAAAGAATTGAATTTTTAATTTTTATAAAATATACACAATATAACAGTCTTAATTTCATTCAACTCACTGTTTAAATATACCTTTGATTGTTGGACACTGTGCTACAAAGTGCTGGCAAAAATATGAAAATGACAGACATAATCCTTGCCCCAAGAGAACTTAAATCTAGCAGGCAATAGACATGAAAAAATAACAGGGCATACGTGTTCAGTAGAGAGGGAAAAAAGCTGGGAAGTATAATGCAACTGGTAATTATTTCTGTCTGGCAAAGGTAACTACGGAAGTACAGTAGCTAGAAAATTGATTTTGGCAGATAACCAGTCCAAAATTACTCAGTACTAGGGAAATGACCCCCTCAAAAATACTTCTAAAAGCAGAGAACTCCTAGGAAATCAAAGTTTCCTATGTTCAGAGTGCCTAATTTTATTTTTATTCTCTCTTTGTGCATGGCTTGTACTATAAAAGGTATAAGAAAAAACTTCCATAACTATCAAGGGCTGCTAGTTTTAAAAATCAGCCAAATAGCATCAGCCACCCCATTAAATTTTAATAGAAAATTGCCTTCTTTGTCTTCTCTCTCTCTCTTTCTCTCCCATCCCTTTGAATCACTCTAGTTTTACTCCATCATACTTTCTCCTCTCAGATAGCTGCATTGAAAATAACCTCCTATACACCCTCTGCAGGAAAAGTTAGGCTAGTAGCACATGGCACTCGTTTAGAAGGGCCTGCTTCAAAGGGTGGCTCTTGGCTGACATCAGGAAATGTGGGGTCTTTTCCCAGTGGATCTCTCCTGGTCATCTCTGACTCCTCCTCATCAATGATTTTTCGCACACAATCTGTCCCATCGTGTGCACATCCATCTCTTCCTCTATAACCACAATTAATTTTCCAGCTCAGGACAGGATGGTCCTAAATGAAATATTACATTTTCCCCTTTGAGTTACCTCTTTAAGCACTACACATTTTTACTCAGATTCAAATACTTCTTGCCCAATGCAATGCCCTCACATCTCACTTCAAAGGCTACCATACCATCTTCTTAAAGTACAAAATATAAATGTTGAATTTTTGCTTTAAGATACTTCCTAATCACCCCTCACAGTTTCCTCACTTACACTGGCTCTCCCACTTAACTTTCAATATTTCCTCTGACACCCCACACATCCAACTAGAACTCTCTCATTCTTTCTTATCTAGAATAACCCATTGCCTGCTAATTGTGCACATGTTGCAAATATCTTGCTTATTACCTGAATTTATTTTTCTGCCTATAATTACCAGCCATTAGTTGTAAATGCTGTCACATATATTAGTTATTTTTCTGTTAATATCTTTAAGTCTTAAAAAAAGTAAATGCACTTTTATTTGACCTCTTCTGTACAGAGTCAAACACATTACTATGTATGAATAGATTATTTCCTAAAGTTAATTTAATTCAAAAATTATAAAGGGTGAGAGCAGCAGGGTGTCTTAGAAATCAAGTTCAAGTTTTCCCAAAGTATTTTTTTTATGGAACACTATTTCTAGGAGTAGTTAAAAGTTGTTAGGGGTTTGCTTTTCTTTTAATAATAGCAAAATGGAGAGTTTTCAGTGGTCCAATAATTTTAGGCAATACTGGATAAAACAAAGTTAGGCAGATTTCTTTACTGTAGCAATCCTCAATGCTAATGTGCTTTTTGAATCTCCAAAAAAGGAATGCTATTTGCTAAATCGTCCAGGGAACCATATTTGGAAGGAGGCGAATTAAATTTTAATAGAAAATTGCTCTCCTCCCAGGCATTCCAAGGAACACGCCTTGAAGAATGATGATCCAGTCTAACACCCCACATACCCTCAGTGGCTCCTTCCTCTACATCACACTGCTCCATTAGCTGGAATAGTCATGATCAAACAAGTTTCATTGAGAAATGGAAAATCTAGGCATTTCAAAAAGCCCTGGTAAATTTTTTGACATTTTTTTTCTGACAACCAACATGTGATCAAAACTCTAGTGTTGTTTTAAATTTTAGAACATTTATCAGGGATCCACAAGACTACCCTCGACTCAATGACTAGCTATAAAGACAACAGGACTCAGAAATGCTGTTATACTCATGGTTTTGGGTTATTACAGCAAACAGATACAGATTGAAAGTTAGCCAAGGGAAAGGAACAAGCAGCAATGTCCATAAGAAACCAGGCACAATTTTCCATATGTCCTCTTCCAGAAGGACAGCCTCAATTCTCCATACAGCAATGTGTGACACACTCTCCTTCACTCCTAGAGAGTTACATGAACACAATTCATTTTTTAATGTTTCTTTATTTAAAGACTAATCAAAATGTCATTTTTTTTGAGCTCCTCTTTTTCTTTATTGCACTTTAAGTTCGGGATACATGTGCAGGACATGCAGGTTTGTAACATAGGTTTACACATGCCATGGTGGTTTGCTGTACCCATCAACCTGTCATCTATATTAGGTATTTCATGCTAGCCCTCCTCTAGCCCCCCACCCCCCGACAGGCCCCAGTGTGTGATGTTCCCCTCCCTGTGTCCATGTGTTCTCATTGTTCAACTCCCACTTATGAGTGAGAACATGCGGTGTTTGGTTTTCTGTTCCTGTGTTAGTTTGCTGAAAATAATGGTTTCCAGCTTCATCCATGTCCCTGCAAAGGACACACTCTTTTTTGTTTGTTTGTTTGTTTGGTGGTTGGTTCGTTGGTTGGTTGGTTGGTTGTTTTTGAGATGGACTCTCACTCTGTCATCCAGGCTGGAGAGCACTGATACAACCTCAGCTCACTGCAACCTCTGCCTCCCAGGTTCAAGTGATTCTCCTCCCTCAGCCTACTGAGTAGTTGGGATTACAGGTGCACATCACCACACCCAGCTAATTTTTGTATTTTTAGTACAGACGGGGTTTCACCATGTTGGTCAGGGTGGTCTCAAACTCCTGACCTCGTGATCAGCCTGCCTTGTCATACCAGAGTGTTGGGATTACAGCCATGAGCCACCGCGCCTAGCCCAAACTCATCCTTTTTTATGGCTGCAAAGTATTCCATGGTGTATATGTGCCACATTTTCTTTATCCAGTCTATGATTGGTGGACATTTGAATTGGTTCCAAGTCTTTGCTATTGTGAATAGTGACACAATAAACATACATGGGCATGTGTCTTTATCGTAGAATGGGATTGCTGGGTCAAATGGTATTTCTAGTTCTAGATCCTTGAGGAATCACCACACTGTCTTCCACAATGTTTGAACTAATTTACACTCCCACCAACAGTATAGAAGCATTCCTGTTTCTCCACCTCCTCTCCAGCATCTGTTGTTTCCTGACTTTTTAATGATCACCATTCTAACTGGTGTGAGATGGTATCTCATTGTGGTTTTGATTTGTATTTCTCTAATGACCAGTGATGATGAGCTTTTTTTTTATATATGTTTGTTGGCTGCATAAATGTCTTCTTTTCAGAAGTGTCTGTTCATATCCTTCGTCTACTTTCTGATGGGGCTGTTTGATTTTTTCTCGTAAATTTGTTTAAGTTCCTTGTAGATTCTGGATATTAGCTCTTTGTCAGATCATAGATTGCAAAAATTTTCTCCCATTCTGTAGGTTCTCTGTTCACTCTGATGATAGTTTCTTTTGCTGTGCAGTAGCTCTTTAGTTTAATTAGATCCCATTTGTCAATTTTGGCTTTTGTTGCCATTGCTTTTGGTGTTTTAGTCATGAATTCTTTGTGCATGCCTATGTCCTGAATGGTATTGCCTAGGTTTTCTTCTAGGGTTTTTATGGTTTCAGGTCTTACATTTAAGTCTTTAATCCATCTTGAGTTAATTTTTGTATAAGGTGTAAGGAAGGGATGCAGGTTCAGCTTTCTGCATATGGCTACCAGTTTTCCCAACACCATTCATTAAATAGGCAATCGTAGGGAAAATGTAGATTTGGTCTTTTCACATAGTCCCATAATTCTTGGAGGCTTTGTTCATTCCTTTTCATTCTTTTTTCTCTAATCTTTTCTTCGTGCTTTACTTCATTAAGTTGATCTTCAATCTCTGATATCCTTTCTTCCACTTGATCGATTTGGCTATTGATCCTTCTGTATGCTTCATGAAGTTCTCATGCTGTGTTTCTCAGCTCCATCAGGTCATTTATATTCTTCTCTAAACTGGTTATTCTAGTTAGCAATTCATCTAATCTTTTCTCAAGGTTCTTAGCTTCCTTGCATTGGGTTAGAACATGCTCCTTTAGCTTGGAGGAATTTGTTATTACCCACCTTCTGAAGCCTACTCCTGTCAATTCGTCAAACTCATTCCCCTTCCAGTTTTGTTCCCTTGCTGGTGAGGAGTTGTAATCCTTTGGAGGAGAAGAGGCTTTCTGGTTTTTGGAATTTTCAGCCTTTTTGCACTGGTTTTTCCTCATCTTTGTTGATTTATCTACCTTTAGTCTTTGATGTTGGTGACCTTCGGATTGGGTGTTTGTGTGGACATTTTTTTTTGTTTATGTTAATGCTATTCCTTTCTGTTCGTTAGTTTCCCTTCTAACAGTCAGGCCACTCTACTGCAGGTCTGCTGGAGTTTGCTGGAAGTCCGCTCCAGACCCTGTTTGCCTGGGTATCACCAGCAGAGGCTGCAGAACAACAAAGATTGCTGCCTGTTCCTTCCTCTGGAAGCTTCAAACCAGAGGGGCACCCACCAGATGCCAGCCAGAGCTCTCCTGTATGAGGTGTCTGTCGACCCCTGCTTCGAGTTATCTCCCAGTCAGGAGGCACGGGAGTCAGGGCCTCACTTGAGGAGGCAGTCTGTCCCTTAGCAGAGTTCAGGCACTCTGCTGGGAGATTTGCTGCTCTCTGCAGAGCTGGCAGGCAAGAAAGTTTAAGTTTGCTGAAGCTGCACTCACAGCCGCCCCTTCCCCCAGGTGCTCTGTCCCAGGGAGATGGGAATTTTATCTATAAGCCCCTTATTGGGGCTGCAGCCTTTCTTTCAGAGATGCTCTGCCCAGAGAGGAGGAATCTGGAGAGGTAGTCTGGCCACAGTGGCTTTGCAGAGCTGTGGTGGGCTCTGCCCAGTTCAAACTTCCCAGTGGCTTTGTTTACACTGTGAGGGTAAAACCACGTACTCAAGCCCCAGTAATGGCAGACACCCCTCCCCTAACCAAGCTCAAGCATCCCAGGTTGACTTCAGACTGCTGTGCTGGCAGCAAGAATTTCAAGCCAATTGATCTTAGCTTGCTGGGCTCCATGGGGGTGGGATTCACTGAGCTAGACCATTTGACCTCCTGGCTTCAGGCCCCTTTTCAGAGGAGTGAATGGTTCTGTCTCACTGGCATTCCAGGCACCACTGGGGTATGAGAAAAAACTCATGCAGCTAACTTGGTGTCTGTCCAAATGGCTGCCCAGTTTTGTGCTTGAAACCCAGGGCCCTGGTGGTATAGGTACCCGAGGGAATCTCCTGGTCTGCGGATTGTGAAGACTTTGGGAAGACCATAGTAACTGGGCCGGAATGCACCATTCCTCAAGGCATGGTCCCTCATGGCTTCCGTTGGCTCGGGGAGGGATTTCCCTGACCCCTTGCACTTCCCGGGTAAGGCGATGCCCCACCCTGCTTTGGCTCGCCCTCCGTAGGCTGCACCCACTGTCTAATCAGTCCCAATGAGATGAGCTGGGTACCTCAGTTGGAAATGCAGAAATCACCCTCCTTCTGCGTTCATCTCGCCAGGAGCTGCAGATCAGAGCTCTCCCTATTCAGCCATCTTGCCAGCCACCTCCCAAGGACTGACGTGAACACAATTCTATGAGCAACAATGTGTATAAAGAGGATCAGACTATGCCATCTCAAAATATGCCATTTAGCCATATTGATTATTTTGAAGAAGCTAAACAATTTCCTTCAGGAAGGACTCTGTGGCCTCACCCTTTATACCTGAAAGCGGTGCATAAATTTTCCATGAGAAATGTGTCCTCCCTATCACGAGAGATGGGGAATCAATACCGATATGAATGTATACAAACAAACCTACTAAATTAACCCTTAACTTCCATTAGTTTTCCCCATAATTTCCATTAGTTTTCCTAGCCACCTTCCCACAATTTATCACCTCTTGCTCAACCTCATTTACACATCTCCACAATTTATTGCTCTTTGATAAAATGGCATATAAGCTCCCAGGCCTATCCGCTTCTTTGAATTTTCATTTCTTTTATATGAAGGCCTCTATGTACACATAAAAATATTAACATCAAAAAAATTGTAAGCTTCTCTTGTTAATGTGTCTTCTATAAGTTTAATTCTCAGACCCAGACACAGACCCTAATAGGGTATAATGAAAGTCTTTCCTCCCTTACCTGTGACAACCCTTGTGAAGTGTTATCAACCACGAAATCTTACTAAAGCTGTGGTGACCATGTTTTTTACTGGGAGTGAGTTATATAGACATGCAGCACCTGCATGATTGACCTCAGCTATTCTGACTCAAGCCTCTCAGAGCAAAAATATGTGTCCACCATTAATCATGTTGTGAGCATAACTCACCTGATCAAACTGGTATCACATGACCCAGGACTCAGCACACGGAAACATGCTTATCAGGCAGAATATTCCAAGGGCTTAAAGGTCATATCCCAGATACTGGCCAAGAGCCAGTCCTAATGATATGCATTCCTTTGGATTGTGCAGATTTTGGGCAACCCAGACGTGCTGAGTTAGGAGTTTCCTGCATAGAGCTCTTCCCAGCATTTTACCTCTCACAATTAGATAACAATTATATTTGGAAGGAGAGCATGTGTCTTCTTTATTAGAAATACCCAAGTAAACAGAGTTATTAACCCCGTGCCTTTAGGAGTATTTACAGTTTAAGATCACTTCATCTAGTATATTTTTCATTTCTCTCATAAATGTTAAATGGGAAAATCAAGCAGAGTTTTAAAAGCCAAATGTGGCCGGGCGTGGTGGCTCACGCCTGTAATCCCAGCACTTTGGGAGGCTAAGACAAGTGGATCACCTAAGGTCAGGAGTTCGAGACCAGCCTGGCCAACATGGTAAAACCCTGTCTCTACTAAAAGCACAAAAATTAGCTGGGTGTGATGGCAGATGCCTGCAATCCCAGCTACTGAGGAAGCTGAGGCAGGAGAATCCCTTGAACCCAGGAGGCGGAGGTTGCAGCGAGCTGAGATCGCACCACTGCATTCTAGCCTTGGTGACAAGAGTGAGACTCAGTATAAAAGAAAAAAAAAAAAGAAGCCAAAAAAGCCAAATGTGCATTTGTGGGGGCTAGTTGGTGACAATTTAAAACAGAATCAGTAAAGTTACTAACAACCAATCAATCTTAGGCCGGGCGCATCAAGACCAGCCTGGCCAACATGGTAAAACCTTATCTCTACAAAAATACAAAAATTAGCCAGACGTGGTGGCGCTTGCCTATAATCCCAGCTACTCTGAAGGCTGAGGTGGGAGAATTGCTTGAACCCGGGAGGTGGAGGTTGTAGTTAGCTGAGATCACATCATTGCACTCCAGGCTGGATGAAAGAGCAAGACTCTGTCTCAAAAAAAAAAAAAAAAAAAAAGAATCAATCAATCTTATGTTCTTTCAGCCTATTCAATCCATTATTGAAGAAGGCATTATGACTTTCTAGTATTCTATGGTCAACACTGAAAAGCTTTACTGTGTGTACTAAAGACCCATGATCATCGTAAACAGAAAGGCCTTATTTCAGGGAAGAATTCTTAACTCTGCAATAAAGGATAAAGAGCAAGATTCCCATTAAGTATTTATATTGAAATGTTGTAAAAGCTCCTCAGCAAAATTGAGTTTTAGTTAAAGTTTGAAACAAAATATATTCTGATATGTTTTAGAGTTTAATTGGTTGTAAAGTCTGTTATAGATCCTAACTGTTATATAGGAAGAAATTAAACAAACTGTGCAATAAAAACATTTTCCCTTCCTCATCTCTCACACAACCTCAGTATTTCACTTCTGACACCAAATGTGTGAGGCTGTTTTCTCCCACCAAGTTTTCTCCAACACCAGTTGGGATCCTACAATGCAGTTCAATTCTGACACTAACAAGAGTTAGCACAGACCCCAGAGATTAAGAGCTTAATCCCACAAGACTGCCCCTTGCTTCAGACTCCAATCACAATAAGTTCCCACATTACCCACAACTTCTGTGTGACTTGCCTACAAATTGGAGATTCCCATGAGCCCCTTCTCATATTCATTAATTGGCTAGAGTGGCTCACAGAACCGAGGATACAAACTAACAGCCAGATGGGGAGATAGTTAGGGCAAGAGTGGGAAGGATTCTGGATGCAGGAGCTTCTGTCCCTATGGATTTGAGATAGACCATTTTTCTAGCACGTAGGTAGGTTTTTATTCATGAACCTAGAAGCTCTGTGAACCCCATCACCTTCTATGGTGTTGCCAAATGTTCTCAGGAAGTTTCATTCTCAGAGTTCTTTTAAATAGCTCAGTAATGTTGACAAGTGCTCTTGATTTGCCTCACATCTGCTTCCCTCAATAACTTATTGATAAATTAATGAGCAGAAATGTGTATACCTGGTAAGGTTAGGGTACTTATAATCTCAGGATATAGCCAGTATGATTTTTCTGAAGTTAAAAATTTCTTTTACTTTGCAGATTTTTGACCTAGGTTAACCCCCCAGAAAGTAAGATGAACTTACCAAAGATGCTGGAAAATGAAGCCCTTTATATGCAGCTGCTGCAGCACACCTGCTTTGACCTACATGGTTGCTCTTGTCTTTAGCGATCCATTGGGTTTTTCACTTTAGTTAAAGGTGCCTATATGTAAGCAAACCTCGCTCTTTGTAAATCACTTCTGCAGGAAAATTCTCCAAGTGGCCTTAGTCAAATCCTGCTCTCCCACTGGACTTCGCGTTTGCACTTCTCAAGAAGAACTGTAGAATGTGCTGGGAATGTAGCATCCTGAGATGGTGGGGACTGGCTGGAACAGCCTGTGCTCTGTTCCATTCCCTCCTAGAACAAACAGGCTATCCTTTAACATTTTAGCACAATGTGTCACATCACCCTGGGCTATGAAATGCAGAGGGAGCTGCTTTCTGGGTCCCTCATCTGTGGTGCAAGTGAGGCATGCACATTCGGGACTCCATCCACTCCAGGCAGCTTTCCTGAGACCTGCTTGCAATAAATCCCAGGATTCCATTATCCCTTGCTGCCTATCTGTAAGCAATAAACCTATTTCATGCAATTTGTTGTGTGCATGGGTATTTTCTGTCTCACTGGGCTTAGACAAGTTGGTAACCAGTGCACAGTGATCCTGCTTCACAATGTCCTTCTTTTCTTTCTTTTCTACTCCTCCTAACCGTTTCATCAGCATAGGTCAACTAAAAGCCCAGTGACATAGTTATTCTTTATATGTATAACAATTACTCTGAAAGCATCCTTACAATTGACTTCTGCATTATTGTTAACTATTGCTATGACAATAATCACTGTTAAGTTTACTCCCGAAGCCTCACAGTGAAAGATCATGACTCAAGTTGTCAGGAAAGAAATGCCATGAGATTAACGAGTGAGGATTCCTTCACATTACTGAAGATCTTTGACCTATTTCTGCAGGCCAAGGTGTGAGAATATCAAGACTGCCTCTTCCTGGTGTATATCTAAGATGCCTTTAAAAAATCCTCATTAAACCAATCTGAAGGGTTTAATGAGCATTTTTAAATGCATCTTAGATATACACCGATTAAAAAGACGTGACCTCTGGCCCTGAGGATGTGGAGTTAAGTGAGAACAACAGAAATATAAAGAAGTATTTTGAAGATAGTGTGATAAGTGCTAACCAGAGGCAAATTTAACCATGAAGCTAAGGAAGCTTATGTTCTCACTTCCACCAGCCCTTCTGAGAGTGAAGACCCTTTGTAATATGTTCTTATGATTATATGCTCTAGTAAATTACAAAATTAAGGTATTTCTGTACACATTTGCTTAAAAATGGGAGCCAATCTTTATAAGCTCCAGGGCCCACACCGTTATAGATTTGCCTTCATGCTGCCCTACTTGTATTTAAAGGGTAAAATGGGATTTAACTGGTAAGGACTTGAAAATTCACTCACCCTCATCCAAACTAACCACAATATAGAGATCTTGGAACACAAATAATAATGCCACATCATGAAAATGCTGCTAATATCAGCAAAGAGTTAAACAACAAAATAATTTTTTTCAATGTGAAATCAAGGCAGAACACAATAAAATACATAGTCAAAGAGCAAACATCCATCACTGAAACTATTATAGGGACTGGCCATCTTCCATCTTCTGAACATCACTAGCAAGCAGTTTTTGTACAGAGAAGTGTGTAAAATTCTAGCTTTTAGAAATGGAAATTTTTTATGAAAAAATAGACAAAACAATTTATAGTAGTAACTTGGGTGTTATGGAACTAGAAATCAATAAGCCTTGGGAACTCCTGGTATATAAAGTAGATATAGAGAGTTAAATATACAGAGATTTTAGATATATTTTACACACATGTATGCACATATGTGTGGGTTTAATTGTGTCAATTCAAATTCCAAGTGGAAAGATAACTTTACCTGCTACAACATGGTCTTTACCTACCTCTCCCAGAACTTAGGGCAGAGAGCTGAAGACTCAACTTCATTCTCTCTTTATCACCATTCTTAAAATCGTTAGAAATATAGGGGATTGAGAACAAAATTATGTATAATTAAGTGGATACTTGTTACTTGAATGGAAAAAGAAAGTAGTAATGGCTATTGTAGGGCAATTTGTGAAAATCTACAGTTTCCAGTTCCCAAACAGCCTGGCCTTTTCTCAAAGGCTACAGTCAAGCTTTAGAGTAACTTAAGGAAACACGAGGCTTCCACCTACTGTTCACAGAAAAGTAGGCCATTCAGAGAGCAACTGAGATATTTTCTTCAGAAAGCAAATAAGCATTAACTGTTTTCTGTTATCTTTGTTGCTTCTAAAACTGCAGTCAATTGCTGTTATCTCCATTGCCCTTCCTCGCCATTCTATATCCCTCTCTCCTTCCTTTTTTAAGTTATTTTTCCTGTCCTTCTTTTTTTAGAATCACTCTTTTTTTTTTTTTTTTTTTTTTTTTTTTTTAGTTTTAAGAAAACTGGTTTGGATAGCTTTTGGCATTCTTTCATTTATCCAGAAAAATAAGAATCTTATACTAGTTTTTGCAGCTTTTGCCACTTCGTTTTACTCATCAAAAAATATTTAAAATTCTCTTTTTGCTAAATACTGGTGAGAGATTGATAGAGTTTGGCTTTGTGCCCCCACCATATCTCATGCTGAATTAGAATTCTCAATGTTGGGGGAGGGACCTAGCGGGAGGTGATTGTATCATGAGGGCGGATTTCCCCCATGCTGTTCTCATGTTAGTGAGTTCTCATGAGATCTGATGGTATGAAAGTGTATGACACTTCTGACCGGGCGTGGTGGCTCATGCCTGTAATCCCGAGGCAGATGGATCATGAGGTCAGGAGTTCAAGACCAGCCTGGCCAAGATGGTGAAACTCCATCTCTACTAAAAATACAAAAAATTAGCCAGGGGTGGTGGTGGGCACCTGTAATCCCAGCTACTCAGAAGGCTGAGGCAGAGAACTGCTTGAACCCAGAAGGCGGAGGTTGCAGTGAGCCGAGATCGCGCCACTGCACTCCACCCTGGGCGACAGAGCGAGACTCCATCAAAAAAAAAAAATTTTTTTTGACACTTCCCTGCTCACTCCTAGTGCCATATGAAGAACACGCTCACCTCTCCTTCACCTTCTGCCATGATTGTAAGTTTCCTGAGGCCTCCCAGCTATGCTTCCTGTACAAACCAGTGGAACTGTGATTCAATTAAAACTCTTTTCTTCATAAATTACCTACTCTCAGGTAGTTCCTTATAGCAGTATGGAAACAGACCAATACAGAGATACAAAGTTGAGTAAGACCCTTCTTTGGACTCCCATTGCATCTGTCTCAGTCCCCTACACAGTCCTGTCTACATTGAAAAATGGCTCTGGTGTGCTTGTCCATTCTCTGCTGTGCAGGCTGCAATCTCTTCCAAAGTGAAGTCAGTGTCTGACTATATCCTCCAAAGTCCTTTGCAGGCATAGAGCTTTTCACATAGGAAGCATGTTCAGAAACCATACGGGAGGGGCCGGGCACAGTGGCTCACATCTGTAATCCCTGCACTTTGGGA
This sequence comes from Homo sapiens, assembly GCF_000001405.40. NCBI lineage: Eukaryota > Metazoa > Chordata > Mammalia > Primates > Hominidae > Homo > Homo sapiens. The sequence goes on along the minus strand of NC_000005.10, from coordinate 113,916,870 downwards.
GGCAGAGGTGGGCAGATCACTTGAGGTCAGGAGTTTGAGACCAGCCTTGCCAACATGGTGAAACCCCATCTCTACTGAAAAAAATACAAAAAATAGCTGGGTATGGTGTTGTGAGCCTGTAATCCCAGCAACACAGGAGGCTAAGGCAAAAGAATCACTTGAACCCAGGAGGCAGAGGTTGCAGTGAGCTGACATTGGGCCACTGCACTCCAGCGTGGGTGACAGAGCGAGACTCCATCTCAAAACAAACAAACAAACAAAAAACCAAGAAACTATATGGGAGGGAACTAATTCCATGAGCTTTCACTCTAGTAAAGAATATTCAACAAGACTATTCCCTTTTGGGAGACAATCACAGTCTACTAGTTGTTATGTTCAAGTTCAGAAAAATCACCTACTTAGTCAGAAAATCAATACTAGGCTCTGCTACTAACTAGCTATGTGATCTTAGACAAGTTAACCTCTCTGAAGATCAGTTTTTCATATGTAAAATGAAGACAACATTTCTACCTCATAGAAAGTTATAAAAAAAACAGAATGGGAGATAATTTATGCAAAATATAGCATCCTTCACCTAATAAGTATTCAAACAATGCTGCTATGGCTATTATCATATAAAATGCCAAGTATGATGCCTGGTATAATTATCATTAATATTATTAGCTATATTTATTGTTAGGCATGTAAGCGTCACTGTTTGACCAATAATTCAGGACAGAGTCTTTATTAAAGACTCTTTTTATTAAATTTTTATTAAATATCTCTTTTTTTACTGTGGACCTTTCAGAAAGCTTCAGCATTCCAAAAGGTGGGTTTTACTGAAAACTTTTTGGTATAAAGAACATTTCCAGGAACTTGAACGCTATCTGAAGAGGAAATATTACACCTAATTTATACCCAGGTTTTTTTTCTCTTTTCAAAGGAAGGCTCAACAGAGGATTCTATAGTGAAATTGAATTATTGACAGGGAAGTTAAGTAAATGAAGTGTTATAAGACTATTGCCTAAAGGTATCACTCACTTCATCCTTTTAGAGAGGTAGCACTGGCATGAAGCATGCACTTGGCAGTAAGACAGATCAAGTTCCAAGTCTGACCTTTAGCACCTTTTAGTTCTGTGACCCAACACAGCCTAATTGAACCACCCAAAGTGAAGTTTCCATATATCAAAGATGAAAATAGTAATTACCCTGACCCCCAGTAGGGCCATTGTGATGATTAAATTTAAACATATATGTAAAACACAGGTGCACAGTAAATAGCAGGATTCCTTTTGGTAAGAGCAGCAGAACATAAAGATTTACTAGTAAACAGATGCCATATCAAGGACAGATTTCATATCCATTCATGTTTCTGATAGTTAATCAAATTCTACCAAGATACAAATTATGTCTTGGTTACACAAATGTAACCAAGAAGCTTTGAAATAAGGATCATCAGTTTTTCAACCAATTTTCTCAGAATTATACAATATAAAAGAAAAAATTAGCCTGTCTTAATTCTTCCATTCTCACTCTATCTAAATTTGGAAACTACGTTAATTCTGTTTACATTGACTGCTTCACTAATGAGTTTAGCAACTGATATACAACGTTGGCTGTAAATAGTTCATCTGATTCATTTACTAGGTTTATTAGTTGAATTTATCATGTGTTTGTTTACTGGTTTTATTTGTTCAATACTTATTATGTATCTGAAAAGGACACAGAGATATGAGTGAACCAGGCTGTAAGTCCCATAAGGTCAGAAAAAAAATCTCATAAAGTCCATGGAATGTGAACAACTATAATTGAGCCATGTAGGAAGCAAAGATAACATTATTTTCTGATTGGTTGATCTGAAGAAGTTACATATTAAAATCATTGAATACTAAGGATGTTTTCATGTGCTCTTTCCAATACTGTAACATGTAAACACACATGGAGGAATTGAATTTCATTAGAAACTATTATCTGTGTGCTATGAATTGCTCCTAGTCCTGGAACACATGTTACTTTGCAAAGAGGATTTGATTGTTCAATAAAAGATTATAAGTCATTTCTATTGAGTTCATGTGTGTGCGTGTGGACATATGTGTTGGTATGTGTTGCAATGTTGGGTAAAGGTACACAAATAATATTCTTAGCCTTAGATGATCTTAGCATTAATTGTCAGTGAATGACCTAGAGGAATAAACATCTATTCACCTTTTTCACCATGTTTCCAATTTCTGAGGCCGAGAAGTGAAAACCTTAGGTTTCCCTCCAAGTTGTCCATCCTAGACTCACAGACTAGCTTCTGAAATTTAAAATTTTTAAGTTATATATTTTTGTTCTCAGAAGGTTGGAATTGAGAAGAAAGAGAATCAAATATGAAGCAAATCACAGATCTGTTTTAGTATGCATAGACTAGAAGATACTATGAGGATAAACATAGAATAGGAGAAACCTGAGCTAAGAGAAAATAAAAAGAGAAATACTGTGCTTAAAAGGGGCTTTCTTATACCTTGTTAGTTCCAGTAATGATATAGGTGGCAGCGGAGGGAAAATCTGCTATAGGACGATGGGAGTCTCTGTGGCAGAATGGGAAGAACCATGAAGTAAGGTTCAGAAGGCCTGGGTACCAGTCCCAGCCATGTCACCAGTGGACTGTGTGACCACAGTCTCAATGGGGATCACATCCTCTTCTATCAAATATAAGATTTGGGCCAAAGAATGCTTACATAGTCTTGGAGAAGACTCCTAATGTCTTTTCTATGTGCATATGTGTCTGTATCTGTAAATCCATATTTTATGCTCCAGTAAGAAGACTGAACCAAGCTAAAGGCTAATTAGAAAAGTGGACCTGGGTAGGGGTTTCCAGGGCAGACATGGGTGGGAGTCAGGGGACTGCAGGGTGATATCCAGTATCATTCTCTGAGCATGATAAGGTGGTGGAACAGTGTAGAAGTGCATGCAATCCAAAGAAAAACACAGCTACCGCTGCAATCCAAAGGTTATTCCAAAAGCAGCCAAAAGGAAGTCAAAGGCCACAGAAAATGCAGACCAGAGAGGTGAGCATGAGGGAAGGGTGAGAAAATAGTTCCAAGGTGAGGATGAGCAGCCAAAAGAAGTCAATGTTCGGGGTAGTTAGGTGAGGCACTGTTAGAGTAAGGAGACCTTGGAAGGATGTGTCCAGTCCAGTGATTTAACCACAAATATCTATTTTAGAAGGAGAAGAGATTGTAGCAAACAAAAAGCAGCAGAAAGCATCAGAGATATCACTCTCCCTTGCAATCCCAGTATATCCTTTTGTTGCCCTTAAAAATAGGAGAGAGGTTCAGTTATAACAGCAGGCTGTCGGTACTGCCACAATTTCAGTTGGCAAGTGCTAAATGCTCCCTATTGCCCTAAGAACCAAATACTTGCAAAAACAGGTAGTGGAGGAGTAGAGGAGGCAAAGCCATCACCACCCTAAGGCTTAGGCAAGAGGGACTCCACACTCTGGTCAAGTCCCTCTCCTCTGAACTAAGACACTGTGGGCCAAGGGGAGGTACCCCCAGGCCTGAGCCCTCCTTCCTTCTAGACCACATTCCTCTTGTACTAGATCCAGAAATACTTCTCCCCCAACCTGCTTCCAGGGACTACATAGACTTCTTCCTCAGGTCTGTCACTTTAAGGAGAAACCATGCCTTCAGATGCACTCCCCTAGGTCCAAGTGGCAGTTCAAGGGTGGCTCTTTCTAGGGGTTTAGAAAACAGAGCTTAGATACACAGGCTGGGTGTTCACATGTGTGTGAGAGGACCCTCCTGAGGTAAGACAGAGCTGGGGATGAGATAGCAAGGTGCATGTGCCACAGGCTGAGCGGCAAGGTGAGGGATGCTGGAGCCAGGGAGCCAGGGCCCAGGGATTAGGGGCCTATGGTGCTATATTCTGACATGGAACTCCTAAAAGTGTGAGAATTCTAACTCTGAACCTAACTCTACCTGCATAGCAAGGTAGAATAATAAAACATATTTTATACTTTTAGAATTAGCTTAATTTATAAATTCTATATAGTTGGTGTTTATATGTTTAAATAGAATTAACCCCATCTCCTTTCTTTGTTTTCTCTTTTTAGTCTATTCAGGTTTCCAGTGAGTACCCTTGAAAAATAATCTCTTCTTCCTTGTATGTGTGTTAGTACAGGTGTATGTGTGTGTGTGTGTGTGTTAGACTGGGGAGAGGAGGGTTGTTAGGGAGGGATGGTTCTTCAGTGTTTCTAATTCTGTGATCATATTTGGCATTCAGCAGTACTTCTTTGGTGACAATCATAATGCTAGCTAGTCTACTTCCAAATGTGCAAATGTTATGCTTCCTGTGTTTTATATGTTGCAAAGAACAAGATGCTTACTCTCTGTATTAGTCAGGGTTCTCTAGAGGAACAGAACTAATAGGATAGGTAGATAGATAGATAGATAGATAGATAGATAGATAGATAGATAGATAGATAGATAAAGGGGAGTTTATTAAGTATTACCTTACATGATCACAAAGACCCACAATAGGCTGTCTGCAAGCCTGAGGAGCAAGGAAAGCCAGTCTCAGTCTAAAAACTGAAGAACTTGGAGTCTGATGTCTGATGGCAGGAAGCATCCAGCAGGGGAGAAAGATGTAGGCTGGGAGATTAGGCCTGTCTAGCTCCTTCAGGCTTATTCTGCCTCCTTTACATTTGCTGGCAGCTGATTAGACTGTGCCCACCAGATTAACTGTGGGTCTGCCTTCCCCAGCACACTTACTCAAATGTTAATCTCCTTTGGCAGCAACCTCACAGACACACCCAGGGGATCAATACTTTGCATCCTTCAATCCAATCAAGTTGTACCTCAGTATTAATCATCACACTCTCTTACTTATATCTACACCTGCTGGAATTAACTAACCTGTGTATTTTTCCACTATCTTTGTACTTACAGTTCTATTTTTAGTGCAAGTCTGATTTATCTAGATGATTATTTATCTATTTCTAAAACACTATTTTGACTTCAGCATCCTAATAAGTTGATAGTTACTTTCACAACTCGTTTTTAATGTTCCCCAACCATATACTAAATTATCACCATTCCTCTACCAGTGTCTCCAATCTATTTTGGCTTCCAAAACCACTTACACGTGCACTCAGCTAAGACCATGGTAAAAACTATGGTCGGAGTCAGGACCTGGATTCTAGTCCTGGTTCTTTCACCAATCTACACACTCAATGTTCTTGACCAAGTCACTTCTTCTCTCTGAGTTTGACTTTCCTTGTCTATCAAATGATGAGGTTAGAATCTTGCAGTTGCAGGCGGGGAAAACTCAAATTGAAATGGCTTAACAAAGCAATACAGTGAGAGAGTGTGTGTGTGTGTGTGTGTGTGTGTGTGTGTGTGTGTGTGTCGGGGAGGGAAGGAGGAGAGTTGTTTCTTGTCTTGTGTAACTAAAAAGTCCAGGAGTACAACTGGCAGAGTTTGATCTATCACAAGGACCTGGTCTCTTCCCATTTCTTGGCTCAGCTCTACTCTACATTGGCTTCATTGGCAGGCTCGAACTTGTGGCAAGATGGCTGCTAGCAGCTTCGATGCTATATTCTCGCAGGTTCACACTCAGGTATGAGAAGAAATTTCTCTCTTAATTAGAGCAAGAATCTTGCAGCTATCTTTGAGCTAACTGGTGAGGCCAGGGAGAAAGAACACACTCACTGGCCTTTTCTGAGCTCTCTCTCCACCTCTGCAGCCAAGGATAGAGTCAACTCCACCTAAACCACCTGAATTGAGAATAGGGGAGAGATGGGTCCCAAAATGAAAATTCAGGTGCTTTTACCAAAAAGCGTAAGAAATATGCCATAAAGACTATGATTGCTAATGTTACTTGTGTTTTCATAGACTCCAGAAAAGATTATTTAAAAAACATTTAGAAATAAATGCAAAACATTTTTATTTGATACTCCTGAACCTTATTGAGTTAATTCAGATTCTTAATAAGGGGAAAATCATTTAAAAGTGATGTCTATGAATGGTGAGTAGATATAAGGCATGAAGTAATGGTTATCCAGCAGTCTGACTCCAGGTAAACTCATGGCATAAATGTATCAGGCTATATATATATAAAATATTAGACAAAACTCTTTTTTTTTTTTGAGATGTTGTCTCGCTTTGTTGCCCAGGCTAGAGTGCAGTGGCACGATCTCAGCTTACTGCAAGCCCCGCCTCCCAGGTTCACGCCATTCTCCTGCCTCAGCCTCCCAAGTAGCTGGGACTACAGGCACCCACCACCATGGCTGGCTAATTTTTGTTTATTTTTAGTAGAGACAGGGTTTCACTGTGTTAGCCAGGATGGTCTCAACCTCCTGATCCACCCGCCTCAGGCTCCCAAAGTGCTGGGATTACAGGCGTGAGCCACTGTGCCTGGCCTAGACAAAACTCTTACCAGGTCCTGGTATTCTGATAGAGAGAGGCAAACTCCATGTCACTACAAAGAAATAAGGGACCATTTCCCCCTAACTATTGTGAAACAACTGCAGGAAAGCAAAAATTACAGGAAACTCTCCAGGAGAAAATTGCCAAAGGCGATTAGGTGCTGAGCATTTATTGAAGAAGAAATTAGGGTAATTAAAAGGAGATTGAGGCTGGTATTAAAGGAAAGAGACTAGGTTTTTTTTTTTTTTTTTTTTTTATGTTCAAAACTGAAAAGAGGCCCATGAGATTTTTTTTTTTTTTTGATACTGTGCAAATACCAAAAGGCTTTGTTCTGAGGAAATCCAGTAAAATAAGAATTTGCTTCTTTCAGGCTGTCTGCACCTGTACCTCTGTCAGATACTGATCCACAGGGGCCTCCCAGGGCTCAGGGACACAGAAGGGCTACAGATTGGGCCTTGGTGCGTGATGAGTGTCCTTTGCAGACGTCATGGCTGCAGATGTGATGAGAAACATACGGACTACGGTGACTGCCCATCACGTGTTATTATGCAGTCTCCCTTCCCTGAGTGTACTCAGACAGCATTTTTCTCACAGCAACCCCTTAAACAGTTGACAGGTGTCCTGTCAGCTGACACAAGTGCAGGAAAATGGGAGGAAAGTAACAGGACAAAACGGCAGACAGTGTTTTAAATGAATCAGTGTAAGTGTAATTCTTTCCACAGTTTACAAAAAAGCTCTGTGCAAGTTCAGGGTATTATGCTCACAAATGTCATACAGATAATGGCCCCACACATGTGTATGCCCTGCTGTGACAAAGCCCTGTCTTGAGAAGACAGGGTGGAAGACCAGGAGGCTCCTGTCCTGGGTCAGGCTCTGCCACCAACTCCTGAAAAGACCCCCAGATCCCTTGGCTGCAGGGGTGTGGTTCTCTCTGTTTTATCTAGAGACGGTGGAACACACTAGGAGGGGTAGCTGAGCAAGGTGGGGCCTTAGGCCACTGATGGAAAATAACAAGCTACGACAATGGTACAGAAACTTGAGACATTGTCTTTAAAAAGTGTGTTTAAGGTTGTTTTAGTCCCACAAGGCTTCATCCACATGAGAGATTTTTCAGATTGCAAAGACACAAAAGGGGCTGCTTCTTGAAGTGGGCAGGGGGTGCAGAACCCACCAGCATGGCCTTCACCTCATTCACATCTCTGCAGCTCCTGAGGGGGCCCTGAAGAGGCAGAGTCTCTCTGTCACCCAGGCTGGAGGGCAGTGATGCAATCTCGGCTCACTGCAACCTCTGCCTCCCAGGTCCAACTCAGCCTCCCAAGTAGCTGGGATTACAGGCATGTGCCACCATGCCTGGCTAATTTTTGTATTTTTAGTAGAGACAGGGTTTCGCCATGTTGGCCAGGCTGGTCTCGAACTCCTGACCTCAGGTGATTTGCCCCCGCCCCCCCGCCTTGGCCTCCCAAAGTGCTAGGATTACAGGCATGAGCCACCGTGCCCAGCTGAAAGCCACTCTTTTATAGATGAGATCCCTGAAGCTGAGAAGAAGTAATTAATTAGTTTTCAGCTAGTTAATGAAAAGTTGTGACAAAAACCTGGGACTCTTGATCTCTGGTCTAGCAGTCATGGTTAAACACCAGGTGATACCTTTAATGAAGATTGGCAGAGTCCAGAAGGCACAATGTGGCTGTCTGAAATATGTCTGAGTCTTAGGTTTCCACAATATGTTTTCCAGCTAACCAGAAAACCCTCTAGCTGCAAACAGTTAGAAATGTTGTGTAGAATATATCAAATATGGTTTTAAATATAAAATGGACCTCACAAGAAAAAAAAATGTGGCTGTATTAGTTTGCTAGAGCTGTTATAACAAAATACCACCAACCAAGTGGCTTAAACAACAGAAATTTACTCTGTCAGAGTTCTGGAGTCTAGAAGTCCAAGATCTAGGTGTCAGCAGGGATGGTTTCTTCTGAGGTCTCTCCTTATTTTGTAGATGGCCATCTTCTCCCTGTCTTCACATCATCTTCCCTCTATACATGTCTGTGTCCAAACTTCCTGTTTTTGGTTTGTTTGTTTGTTTTTGTTTTTGAGACAGAGTCTCACTCTGTCACCAGGCTAGAGTGCAGTGGTGCGATCTTTGCTCACTGCAACCTCCACCTCCCAGGTTCAAGCGATTCTCCTGCCTCAGCTTCCTGAGTAGCTGAGATTACAGGTGTGCACCATCACGACTGGCTAATTTTTGTATTTTTAGTTGAGACGGGGTTTCACCATGTTGGCCAAGATGGTCTCCATCTGACCTCATGATCTGCCCGCCTCGGCCTCCCAAAGTGTTGGGATTACAGGCATGAGCCACTGCCCCCAGCCCAAACTTCCTGTTCTTATAAAGACACCAGTCACATTGAATCAGGGCCCACCCTAATGACCTCACTTTTATATAGTTATCTCTTTAAAGACATTGTCTCCAAATACAATCCCATTCTGAGGTAATGGGGATTAGGACTTCACCATATGTACTGCGGAGTTTGGGGAGGCACAATTCAACTCATGGTGGTGATTTCCTAGTTTCCAAAACTAAAGAAAGAATATATGTTTGAGGTGATGTAGCAGATGCTCTGAGTGAGGTGAAAGGTGAATATCTCAGAAACAAGAGAAAAGGGAGACAAGAGATAAGCGTTGAGCCTAAGCAAGGTGGAGTGTTAGAATTCACCTCTTGAAAGGCCTGTAATCCCAGTGAAAAGATGGACTAGAAAGAATCTACTCACCCTCACAGAGCAGTGACAATAAGTCTATCTCAACCTGAATTTTGGTAGGGCACAGAAGAGGAAGGCTCCATAAGAAGTTGAAGTCCTGAGGCTGTGCCCCACATAGGCTTGGAGTTGATTTGATACAAGCAATACTGTCCAAGAAGCTTTGAGCTTAGAATTTAATAATCTTAAAAAGGACAATGATAGCCTCAGCTTACCAACCTCTAGATGATAACGCTTTATATAAGACTATTTCTGGGGCCAGGTGCAGTGGCTCACACCTGTAATCCCAGCACTTTGGGAGGCCAAGGCAGGAGGATCATGAGGTCAGGAGATCAACACCATCCTGGCTAACACGGTGAAACCTTGTCTCTATTTTTAAAAATACAAAAAATCAGTCAGGTGTGGTGGCGTGTGCCTGTAATCCCAGCTATTTGGGAGGCTGAGGCAGGAGAGTCACTTGAACCTGGGATACTGAGGTTGCAGTGAGCCGAGATCATGCCACTGCACTCCAGCCTGGGTGACAGAGTGAGACTCCAACTCATTAAAAAAAAAAAAAAATTGTTCTGAAACTTGGGAGATCTTGCTCACAAAATTACCTGTTCCTAGTGTATGTATGTAGTGTTGAGTAGATTTTTAACTACAGTTTCAATTTTGTTATGACTTTATACCTACTAGATATTAGATATTCTATTTATTCTTTAGTCAAAACATACTTTCAGTAACCTTCACTTTCTTAGTAAAATGTCTATTTTATCCAAGTTTTAAAATTTGATTGGGATACGATCATTTATATTCTATTGTGATTTTCGTATCCCTGGACTGTAGGATTAATTATGTTCCATTTTCCATTTTTAGTGATGTTACTTTTTCCCCAATTTTTGTGTTTGATCTTGCTAGGGGTTAATTTTTTTAATTAATATTTTCCAAGCAGTAGCATTTGACTCTGTTACTTTTCGCTATTTTTTCTTTCTTTGGCATTTTATCAACTTTGGCTTTCAACATCATTTAGCTTTATTTGGCTTTCAACTTTGAAAGCCATACTTTCAAGGATAAATGGAATATCTAACAGATATAAAACCATAACAAATTGAAACTGCAGTTAAAAATCTACTCAACACACATACATACACTAGGACCAGATAATTTTATAAGCAAAATCTACTAAGTTACAGAAACAGTTGAAAGCTGTTGAAAGTTTAAGCCAACTTTATTGTGTTCCTTCTACTTATTTGGGGTTTACTCCATTTTCTTTGTTTTCACATATAGGACATACAATTGTTCATGCAATTCTGTGTGGTAGCACAAACGCAGCCATAGACAGTATACAGACAAATGGGTATTACTGTCCTCCAACAAAATTTTATTTACCAAAATAGTCAATACACCAGATTTGGTGAGCTGGCCATAATTTGCCAACCCCTGTTCTAGACAATAGAATAAGAGGATGATCTCTGTAACCCATTTAATGAGACTGCTATTACTTTAATACAGAAATCAGGCAAGAACAATAAAGAAAAAGAAAGGCAACGTTATTTGTGAAGACACAAGTAAAAATTCTACCTGAAACATTAGCGAATTGAATACAGCAATACCTAAAAATAATAATACAATGTGATGAAACAAAGATTGTCCCAAGAATTTAAGGGTCACCTAAAATTAGGAAATCTATTAACATATTCAATATGATTTCAATCAAAATCGCAATAAAGTTTTTAAGGAGACTTGACAAATAGATCCTCAAACTCACTCAGTAGGCCAAGAATGCCCAGACTATTTTTAAGAAAAAGAATAAAGGAGGATTTTTTTATAGATATCAACTTACTATGAGACTATATACTAATTTAAGCAATGTGATATTGGCTCAGAGAGCCCACATACATATGGGAGATGGTACATGAGAGAGTAGGTATTTATAAATCAAATGGCAAAAAAATACACTATTCAATAAATGTTGCTGAAGATTTTGGCAATCCATGTAGCAAAAGACAAAAGTAGATCTCCAGCTTATGCATAAAAATTAACTCCACATAATGTTCTAAACATAAAAAGCTAATCTTTAAGATTCTGGAGAATATATTTATGACTTCGGGGTAAAAATTAATTTCTTAAATAAAAGACAAGTCAAAACTATAAGAGAAAATTATTAATTTGACAACATTAAAATTTAAAACGTTAATACAATAAACAAAGCAAAAAGGCAAGTCACAGACTGTAAGAAGGCATTAATAATAAATACGATCCAAGAGAAAAATGTATAATGGATAAGAACTGAGAAATCACAGAAGACAAAATCCAAAAGGCTAACGAATGTATTAAAAGAGAATAACCTCACTAATAGAGAAATTCTATGCATTAAAAGCCCTATGCAACTATTAAAATGAATGAAAATAGCAAAATGAAATACAATTTGCATCCATCAGAGTAGTAAAATATTGAAATGTCAAGCAAACCCAGTGATTGATATTTTAAAAGTAGGAAATTTTTAAAGATCATCCCCAGAATGTTTTGGGCACTTTAAAAGTAGAGATGCCTAGGAAACGAGAATTCCCCAAAAAGTGGCGACTGCTAACAAATCTGGCCAATTTCACCATTGTACCTGGATTAGTACAAACTACACCATAACCAGATTCATAAGAAGAATGCTTTTATTCTGTGGATGGAGTGTAAATTGGTGAAACCCCTTGAAGAGGAATTGGAGAATATCGAGCAAAGTCGAATGTATGTATAATGATCCACAATAACCAGAAATTCTACTTCTATTGTCTATATTAGGAAATTTTTCACAAATATTCACAAAGAAAGAGGCTATTTATGTTCATCACACTACTGTTTATAGGAGAAAAAACTGAAAAAATCTAAACATCTGTCAACCAGAGAACAAAGGAACTAATTCAGGTGTACACTGAAACTCTATAATATATAGCTATAAAAATTTAAAAGCCAGATGCAGGAGTTAACATGAACAGACTTCAAAAACATGATATGAGATACAGAAAGCAAGCAAGCAACCAAAGGATAGTATTCATGAATACATACATGTATGATAAAATTATTAACACATGCGTGAGAAAGAAAAAAACAAACTTCTAGAGTAAGAGAAGAAAGGGAAATAAGATTAGGTTTTCAATCCATCTGTAATGCTTTATTTCCAAAAAAGTAAAAATAAAAGAGAGAAACGAAGTAAATACAGAAACAGTCTGACATCTGTTTAATCTTAGTGATGGATATATGGTATGTACTTTTTTTGACTTTTCAGTATGTCTGAAATATTCCATAATTAAAATTAACTTTTAAAGGAGATTGGAACCAATATGTAGTGTTTTTGTTTCAAAATTCCTTACTGAATTTTTAAATTATTTATTTGGTAATAAACAGTGTTTTTTCTCAAAGAAAATTGGCAAAAGAACAAAAATAAAATGTAGAGAAAAGGCTTCTAGAAAGGTTGATTGTTTCATCTCACTGACGTCTATATTTAACTTGAAAAAAAACAGCAATAATAAAAAAAAAGACAAAGAAAAAGAGAATGCAAAGCGCAGTTTCAGTGGTTCTTAAATGATCAGTTAGAGACTTACAAATAGTGATTCTCCATGCCCATAGGAATGTGGTAGAGGAGTGGGTGTGCTCCTCAGAGAATTCTGAGGTGAGCACCTCTCCTTCTTGGGTGGCTCACTTTCATCCCCTCCCTGAGGCGCATTTTGACTTACAAAGTAATGGCCAAGAAGCTGTCAGTCCCAGCTTTCATAGTTCCTCCCAGGAGGAGTTCTTGACCTCTCTCTTCTCCCTGTTCATCTTCTCTGCACTATGTCCTCACTGTCTTTACAGTTGATATTTCCTCAGGTTTACGAATAATTTATGCTTAGTATTTGAGCTAAGGTTTTTGTCCTAAACAATTTACAGGAGTAAATTCATGTAGATGTATGAATGGATGAAGGGATGGCTGGATAAATGGAGAGCTGACAGATAGGTTAATAAATATAACAGACACATATAGAATGGAAGTAATGAAAGTAATAAAAAGATGTTAGATGCCACAAATGATGACTAAGCCACAGTTTCTGGTTGCTATGAAGTAAAGCTAATTGATCTAGGGAAGAAGGAGTTAAGGGACCTGCCCTATTCTCTATTTCTCTCCCAGTCACCAAAGGGAAAGAGGGCAAGTGGCTCAGACTAATCTGCTTAGAATCATGTTGCTGACCCTCTCCCTGGTAGACAGACTAATAATATTTGCTGGGAGTAAATGAGTCCTTATCTATGGAATGCTCTTAGCAGGAAGCCTCTGGATTAAGGTTGTGAAAGGTAGAATAATGTTGCCCCTAAAGATGTCCATATCTAATCCCCCAAAAGTATGAAGATCAACTCTATACTGCCAGAAAAGCACTCCACAATCCCTTTCTTAGCTCAAGGCTATATTTACTCTCCCATTCTCCTCCAAAGTATAGTCCTTAAGGAATTCAATCATCCTGACAGCCATCCATGGCAATACATCATGCTGGCTTACTATATGGACAACATCATGCTAATTGGACTTGACAGCAGAAAGTAACAAGTACCCAAGATGCTCTTCTAAGACAGATGCGTGCCAGAGAAGTGGCAACAAACCTTACATCAGAAAACTGTCACATCAGCAAAGTTTTCAGGGTTCCATGGCCTGGGGAATTCTCTACAAAGTAAAATACAAATTTTCATACCTTATGCCTCCTACCATTAAAAAAAAAGGCATGGCACTGAGGCTCACGGTTTGGGAGGTAATATATGCTGAACTTGGAAAAACTGCTCCCACTTATTGATCAGGTGACTATAGGCTATCAGTTTCTTATAGAGTCCAAATCAAAAGAACATTCTGCAACAGATCTAAGCTGCGACACAGCAGCTCTATACTCTTGGACTGTATAATCCAACAGAAATGAATGTCTTAGAGATACCTATGGTTGATGGAGTTACTATATACTCTCTGGTAAGCCCCAGTAGCATAGTTGCAGTATAAAACCTTGGGACTGTAGAGCACAGACATGCCCTTACAGCAGAGATCTATTCACCATTCAAAAAAGAGCATCTGAAAAGCTAACAGACCCCAACAGAGACTCAGTGACAGAGCACTGGACACCATTAGCTGTACAACTTGAGCTTCCCATTGTAAGCTTCATGTTATCTGAGGTAGTGAGTCAAAAGGTCAGCAGCATTCCATGGTACAAGTAACACAGTTAATTGTGAGCCGGCGTGAGCAGGTCCAAAAGGCAAGAATAAATTACATGATCAAGTGGCTCAGACTTTTAGGCAACCTATTTCAGTTGCAATACCTTCAATTCAGTCCACCCCTATGGTCTCAGAGGGGCTTCCCTTTGGATTTGTCTTCCTCTTGTCCAAGGGCAACAAAGAATAGTACAAAAGCAACAGCAGTATTGGAGAAAAAGTTAAGAGGTCAATGTTCTCCTAGAGTCTTTTGTCTGGACTAATAAAATAGACTACTATTTGACCCGACTTCTACTTTTTTTCCCAAACTGGTCTATTCACACAACATATGGAGTAATCCCTTTAAAATGTAAATCATATGATGTTGCTTCTCTGCTTATAAGCCTCAACAACTGACCCTCATTACCTTCAGAATAAAACCCCAAGTTTTCACCACCAGACAATCAGACCTCTATCATCTGGACCATGACTAGTTCCTGACCTTCTCTCCCTCCTCTCCTTTTGAGCCACCCTGCCTTCTTGCTAGTCTTTGAACATGTTGTTCCCTTTGCCTGGAACTTCATTTCCCTAGTCTTTCATGGTTGGGTCTTTTGCCTGATTAAAATACCTAGTGAAATGTTGCCTTCTCAGTGACGTCAGCACTGACCAACATTCCCCTTCCCTGTCCCTATACTCTGCTTTAGCTTTCTTCATTGCTACTACTTACTACCAGCCAGTATTATTTATTTAATATCTGTCTCATCCACAAAAGAAAGCAGAGACTTTGCACTTTGTGCTGCTGTACCAGCACCTAGAACAAGGCCAGGACAGTACCTGGACCTGAGAGTGACTCAGTTAATAGATGCTGAATGAATGAAGGAATGAATGAACAAACACTGGTTTTGGAGTGACTTAGGTGGCAAGATTCCATAATTTCTTTAAGAAGCCCTCCTTTCACTTAGGTTTTGCACTGAACACAAGAGATTGAAATCTCTTTAATTTTATATTGTTAAAACCTTTTTCACAATATAAAATTACAGAATGAATCTGTTCTTCATGACTATTAACACAATTCAAAAAAATTTAACTAATTACTCCTCTCCCATCTCACCCTTACTTCCCACCCAAAGATGCCAAATGTTAACAACTGGCATGTTTCATTCCATGTCTTTTTCATGAACATACTAAGTATTGTTTTTAACTTTCATAATCTCAGTTTTTTATTAAAATGGGTTCAAACTGTATATCACTATATTTTTCCCAAATAGGGAAAACAAAATGAAACAAACCCTTAGGGCAATATTTATATGAAGAACATGCAAATATTAATATTTCTGTAAATTCATTACAAGATCTGTCAGTGGCTTCCATCTAGGGAATAAGTACTCTCCACATAATGTATTATATGCTAGAAATGTTTGCAAATTGAAGCCTCAGATGCCATCTGTGCAGAAAGCAGAGCATGTAAGCTGAGACTGAATCACCGAAGCCAAGGTGAGTGGTGGCCAAAATCAGCCCAGAGGCACACCACACTGTGGGAACCTGTTCTCCATAATTCAACCTCCAGGCTTCAGCTTTGTCAGGTGAGAACAACCCCCGGTCCTGACTAGTGACTGATGATGAGGCTCTGGCCAGGTTTCTGCTATAGCTGCCACTGACACCATCTGACTGCGTATTTCAAAACCAACTCTCCCCTGTCTCATGCAGTCACAGCCCCTAGACTCTCTGACTCAAAGCACAGATTGAGATTGAAGAAATGCATCCACTTGTGAATTTCATGCTCTCTCTATTTAGATTTTGCAAAGGCCAGTGTCTGGGCTCCCTTCCCAGACATTGGATTTAATTGGTCTATGGTGAGGTATAGGTGGTTTGGATGCACTGTAGAGGTTGTAAATTCTCGATTTTGAGGGATGTCCATGATGTATTGATAATAAATATAGAGATTCTGCCCTTTCTCTTCTCAAATTCAGAGCACTGTGCCTGTTTCCTCCGTAAGCTCACTTATATAATCAATTCCTCAATTTAAGCCTGTGTATAACTGGGCTCCAAGTGATTATTCTAAAACACTTAGACCATACATAAGCTCCATCTCTTATTGTTTCATTCCTCTCATATCCTTTTAGTGGGGGAATGAAGAAAATTTGTAGGAATAAAGCACATAGGAATCTGAGGTTTTATGGGTTTGAGCACATCAAGTTTTCAGTCTCATGAGGCTTAGACCATATCACTCAGTAAGTACAAGTCATCCCATCTTATCTGTCTAGTCTAGCATTTAATAAAGACCTTATGGGGCATATATCTCATATTCTATCCACCCTCATCCCTAACTCAAAGTTACCCCTAGAGGAGCACTCTCCCTAGATGGCTAGGGAAAAGCCCAAGCCATGTTCACATAGATTAATGAATCTGAGATCATGTTGAAGAAAAAGTCATACTGTGTTGGTTTTATTTTAAACAATTCAATCAAGACCATTCTATCATTTTCATCATGCCTGCCTTATTAATCTACAGCCAGACTAGCACAATGTTTACCAGTCAGGGAACAATTAATTGCAGTAATGTGATTATTAACAGTTGCATTAGTAATTAACTAATTAGCTTGCTACATAAATGAAGGAATTCTTTATAACAATTTTTAAATGTGACAGTGATCAGTGGTTATTGTTAATACTAAGATGTCTATGACTTTACAATAAGTGAAAAAACAAAAATATTACAGAGCTGTAAGTATAGAGTATAATTTTATTTTGTAAAATTTTATTCCTATATCTATGTGTATGTGTTATGTGCGTATATATACATAGAAAGGCATCTAGAAGGATATCCAAAAACCTCATTCATTCATTCATTCAACAAATACTTTATATGCCAGACATTGTTCTTAGTGCTTGGGATAACAGCAGAAGACAAAGCAAATTGCTATCTTCATAAAGTTAAATTCTATAATAAACATTTTTTAAAAAAGAAAGTAAATGTATAATATTTCAGGTAGTGAAAGGTGCTTTGGTGAAAAACAGAGTCAAGTATATTGGATTGTGCTTTGTTGTTACCTTGACTAAGGCCAGGAAGTACATTTCCCAGAATTCCTCTCCCATGGGCTTTGGGTTAGAGTTGGTCAAAAAAGGAACTTGTGTGATAATTAGGAAGCAGAAATTCAGCAGTGAGCAGTACTTTCTGAAGGTCATATCTGTCAGACAGAGTGACAGACAGGTGTATATGTACTTGGGAGGCTTCAGTTTTCATCTGTCTCTCCACCATTGGCCCCACTGATCAACAGCAACCATAAGCCAATCCCCCAGTGCCTGACTACCGTTCCCTCAGAGATATTCTACTACACTTCCCTGAGCTGTTTATTCTCCATCCTCTTAGGTAACCATTTTACACCATTCCTTCTTTTCTCAGACCTTTACCTCTCCTGCCTCTCCACTCCTTGCTTCCCATTTATCTAAGAAATAAAGGGAACTTCCACATGTTCCCACAACTATATCTACTAATGAAAGATTATTTGCGTCCATGTGTTCTGCCTTCCTTCCTGTGACAGAAGCTGGCTAAAGGCCATTAATTATCTCTTTCCTCTCTGAGCACCCAGGAAAACTGCATTTGTCAGCCTTTCTTGTCTTTGGGTTAGGGCATTAAAATTAACCAAAGGAAGGTGAGGGAAAGTAACACAAGGGTTTTTACAACTGGCCCCTAAAATCTCCCTCGAGATTCTTGAGTTTCTCTATCCCTTCCCTTGGTTGGAAGTCAAAGATTCCAGGATGGAAGCTGCATACCATGGAAGAAGCCCTAGTTCTGGAATCACCACTTGGAGGGGTGCTGCCCAGGAGAGCTGCCTGAAGACCACTGGGCTGTGAAATGGGCAAAACATAAACTATTGATTATTTTACAGCATCTAATAAGCATGACCCTGACTAGTACACTTCCTGCCTCTACAGATAAACTGGCCACACTCCTATCTCAAGCAAGCTCTTCCAGCTGTACACTAGATCACATCCTACTCAAGGGCAAAGTTCTAAAGATTGCCCCTTTCTTGAATCATCAATTTCTTCTCCTCAACTGGATAAGTCCCAGCAGATAAACATGCTTTAATATCTCCCATCCTTTAAAATGATAAACAGGGCTTTTATCTGGATAAGACTTTTAAAAGAGTTTTTTTAAAAAGTTTTTCTCTTTTCTGGATTGCTTAAAATTTTTTTTCTTTTTTTCTTTTTTTTTTTTTTTTATTAGTAGAGGTGGACTCTCACTATGTCACCCAGTCAGGTCTCAAATCCCTGGGTTCAAGCTGTCTTCCTACCTCAGCCTCCCAAGTAGCTGGGATTACAGGTGCAAGCCAGTGTGCCTGGCTGTATTGTTTAAACAAACCCATTTTACAAAAAGAAAACTGAAACAAAACAAAACAAAACAAAAACTATTGTTCACTCCAAAGAAGTTCTGCTGGATACATGATGTTGCCAATGATTTTCCCTTTCTTTCTCTTGTGGGGCCTCTCCTGGGGCCCCTCTGATCCTCCATCAGCCTGCCAAGAACCTCTCAGAGCCTTCTTGCTGCATAGTCTCTCCACCCAAAATTTACAAAGAACACCAAGAAATGGAAGAGACACAGGCTAGTCACCTCCCATGTGATGGATAGCACAGTCATCCCTCAGTATCTGCCAGGGGTTGGTTCCAGGACACGCTCTCCCCTCTGCAGATACCGCAACCGATGCATATTCAAGTCCTGGCAGTCGGCCCTAAAGAAACTGTGAATAAAAAATTTGGCCTTCCATATACACAGGATTTGCATACGAGAAATACTGTATTTTCAATACATGTTTGTTTGCAGATGTAAAATCTGCCAGTATTCCACATCAGCCAACTGTATTTATTGAAAAAGATCCATGTATAAGTGGACCCATGCCATTCAAACCCATGTTGCTTGAGGGTCAAATGCATTCCCAGGCTGCAGCGTAAGGCAGGTGTCGTTAATCACCAGCTGCTCCTCCCTTAACCAGTGGCACACTCCCTTCACCTGGTGCCTTCTTTATCCATCCCTCTTCCATCAAAACCATATATATGAGTAATCATATCTATGATTCATATAATGATTTCATAGATGATTTTAAGGAATTGATAAATTCTATTTAATTCCCTCCAAATCAATGAATTATCTTTCCTTAGGTTTATAACCTAACCCTCTAATTCAATCTAGTGCTTGAAAAAATAAGTATACCTTTTATTTCCCAGCTTAATTTTAAAAATCTAAAGACGAGATTTTCTAAACAGAAACAAATTGATTTCTTCACATTTCCATTTCGGTAGTGGACATTGGCTACTGTTGTATACACAATTCACAAAAGCAACTTCTTTGGGGCAGAATCTTTAAACTGCCTGCCTGCCCTAAAATCAAGCTTTTCTGATACATTTGGACCAGGATCTGGGCTTCTGTAGTCTTCTTAAATGTTTTGCTCCAGGTTGAACAGAGCCCAAGGCACAGCAGCTTGACTGGTTACTGTAGAAATTCTGAAGAATGTCAGCCTGTCACCTGCCCCCCACTTGTTATTCAGCTAGAAGTATATTTGCTGTCAGTCTGAGGGGGGCATAGGATAGCTTGTGGACAAACAAGTCAAACAATACCCTGCTGCCTGGAGGATCCTGCTGACAGCAATGACTCTGAGCCACACCAAATGTCACCCCGAAGGAAACAAACAAGAATCTGAAGAGCAGAGGTGGCAACCGCCTCTGTTTCAGTGACATTCTTTTTCATAAGATCATTGTCTAAAACTTCACGTTAAAAACAACAAAAAAAGCCCGTAAGGTATTAACTCCTCAATGCTTGTCACTACCTTGCATTTAATTCACTTTAATTTAAACTTAAGAAAGAGAGTTTAATTAGAACCATGGAACCTTACCCAGTGTACATTCTGGAGCAAGAAACTGTATCCTCACCACATGCTTCAGAATTTGTGTCCAGCAGTGATGATTACTCCAAATGCAGGGGGCAGGCACATTTTCATGTAAAACACCAGAGGAAAATGTCTGCCGGTATCCAGGTTCCGTATTAAAGAGAGTTAATCAATTTCAATTCAGTCAATCAACAGGTATGAATTGAACACCTGCCATGTGCCTACCATGAGGATTTGGAAGAAACAAAGCTTGGAGTTGGATTTGGATCAGAAACAGCCAGGGGCATCTTTATTTCAATACTAGCAGCTGCAGGAGAGAAGAACAAACAGAACTAATTTCTCTCCTCCCGGATTTTCATGGAACATATTTATATATTAGGAGAATAAAGAAAGGAAAGAGAAAAAAAACTAGTGAGGGAGCTCATTTGCCGCTTAAGTGTAATATGACATCTATGTTTTATGAAATGATACTAGTCCTTCTAATAAACAAATTTTATTATTTCAAGTAAAGCTCTATAATATGTTCTACAAACTTTTGGGTTTAAGACAACCTTTGGGGTTAAGGGGCTACAATTCTCTAGTTAAGAGAGCCTTGTTGCTGTAATAAAACAGTTTGACCTTAAGAGTGTTCTTTGCATTGAATGTCAGGAAAACACCACGGAGAAAGTCTCAAACTTCTGATAAGTGACAAATTTAATCTTATCTAGGACCTCTTCAGCCTAATTAATCAATTAATACAATTCAAGTTGAGCTCACCAAGTCAAAAACACCCTTTAACCTTCACCATTCTTATCAGAGTACATGAAGATAACTTAAAGCACAGTACCTGAATACACAGTGATTTTGGCTCAAGGTGATTGCTTTTCTTGCAAACCTCAATATCTGTAATTGGCTTCCACCTGGAGCTAAATAAGAAAAGACTCATACGATTTCATTTCACAGTTCTCTTCTCAAAGGAAAGATATACACTGCCTGATTCCACGGATTCTGATTTTGTATCCTGAACATTACAGAGGTTCAGAACAGGTTTCCTAATTTCAAGAAGCTCCAGAGAAAAATGTATATATTAAAAACAATGAGAAGTCAATTAAGGGCTTAACTGTAAGCCTGAGTGAAATAGGAATTGAAATAAGGGGATTCCAGTGTGGCTGGAAGAGTTGGAGGAAATGGAATTTGAGCTCTTAGTTGCTTTATTTGTTTTTCTGGCTTCCTTCTGTATGTCCAGATGCACTTTTACACTGACCAGTTCTCTTTTTAGCAATATCTTCCCCCCAGAGTAGAGACTTTGATTCTCCTAAATGCTGCTGAAGAACCTATGTGGAAAAGCCAAATTACTTTTATTCTATAAAGCCTATCTCTTTGATGGAGGTTCCCTTCCTTCTGCTACTGCCTCTGAATTCCTACTGTTTGTGGCAGAATAACTTTAGATTATATTAGAAATTATATAATGAAGCATGCATGTTAATAACTTAGAGATAACTATTTTCAAGCCAGCAAAGGAAAAAAAGGGGAATGGGAATGGGGACATAGAACACTTGATTAATTCAACCAAAGAATGGAAAAGAAAATAAATATGTAGCAAAGAAAAAGAACGATTGAACAACAAGAGACTAAATTGTCATTTACAAACAATATGATCGGCTATGTAGAAAATTCAAGAGAATCTGGATATAAGAAAATCATGTATTCCATTAGAATTAATCTATTGGAACTAAGAATGGGGCTTAGCAAAGGTACTGAATTCAAGATCAACCGAATTTATGCAATGCATTCTTACATACTAATGTGTCAATACAAAAAGATAAAGGAAAAAAATAATAATCACAATAGAAGAAAAAAGTCAGGCACTTAAAAGTAAACCCAACAAAGCATGTACAAACCACTATTAAGAAATTTACAAAAGGATCTTGAAGCACACAAAAGAAAACCTGAATAAAAGAAGTATACAGTGAACTAACAGCCCCTCAGCACCCTCCAACCAGCATGCTGTCTTTCCAGAGCTATTCCCTACCTATACAAGAGTAGATATTTAAATATTTCTTGAAAATGTATCCAATCATTTTAAACAGGCCTGCTGAATTCTGTAATGTACCATAATTTATTAAGTTCCTCCTGATGGACATTTAGATTATTTCTAGATTTTTCCTACTGCAAGTAACTCTGCCATAAAAATCCTTGTGAAATCAGCCACATCCATAAGTTTGAGTGCATTTGTAAACTAAATTCTTCAAAATCAAATCACTGGCTCAGACAAGATGAGGCAGAAGGGCGGGGTGAGGAGGTGGGTTTCACTCTGGAGACCATCAGCTGGAGTTTTCCCAGAGATGATTCCCCCTAGTGTTCTCACCTAACAAGATGATCAGGACTTTTCCAGGGACTGTGCAGAATGGAGAATAATGGGAAGCTGACTTTGGAGGACTTCAGGCAAGAAGAAAGTAGAAAGACAATACAGCTAAAAAGACAAAGATCCTTTGTAGACTCTTTTAATTAGGAAATATAGGAAGACAGAAAACCAGATGCAACCCTAGATCCTTTAAATTTTGCTGAAAACAAAATATTGTACTTTGTGAGATTCATTGTAACTGGTAATTTCCCCACTGTTTGTTATTTTAGCTAACTCTATCTGTTTCTACATAGTTACTGGCAGCAAAAATTCTTTGAAAGGCTGTGTGCTGACTTGAGACAGAGGTGAGAGAGGCTGAAGACTCGAAGAGCATGCATCTTACTTCAAAGAGGAAAGGCTGGTGAGCAGAAAGCCCAGGAGATGGACTTGGTGAAGGGATGTCACTGGAGAGTGGGGGCTGAGCTCCAGACCTGTGGAGCAAAAACTGGGCCACGGTCAAGCTGCCCGGGCCTAAGGAGGCCAGTCATTCAACTCTTTCAACTAGTATTTATTAAGAACTTACTACATGCCCAACTCCAGGTACTGAGGACATAGCAATGAACAAAGCAGATAAAACATCCCTTAACAGAACTAATATTCTGTGTTTTAGAACCTAGGATGGAGAAAAAAGATTAATGAGTACATTACATAATCTGTTAAATAATCATAAGAGCTTAAGAGACAAGTAAAGCAGGGAAGAAGGATAGGGAGTAATGGGAGAGAGAATGGCAATTTTAGATGGAGTGTCCCAGGATGGCCTCACTGAAAAAGTGTTGAGTAAAGACCAGAAGGAAGCGAGTGGGTGAGCCATGTGATTATCCGGGGAAATGACATCAAGGCAGAGAAAATATAAAGTGCAAAGGCATAGCTGGGACACTGAGAAACAGCAAAGCAGTCAGTGTGGCTGCGACAGATTGGAAAAGGACAGAACTGGGAATGGAGCATACCTGACACCACCTTGCTTCCTGAATTCAAACCATTTTGCACCCATACACACACTGCAGAGAATTTTGCTGCCAGTTCAGTTTCAGCTCAGTTGGCCCAGGTTGTTAGCATGATTTCTACTATTGATGCATCTATTTTTACAGAACAAATTAAATGCATTGTGGAGTTCACTACAAAGAGACTTTATCTGTATCAAGGGCCAGCTTCTTAAAATACATGACTTTTGATATGTCTTCACTGTTTGGAACTAACCCAGAAAATTACTGGGTCCTCCTAGCAACCTGGCACTTTCTCCCTCTCATTGGCCTGTCACCTCAACCCCAGAGGCTGGTGGAATTGGAACCAGAACCCTAGGCCTGTGTTGCCGTACTTTTATCAACTCAAATACAGGTGTGAGGGTCTCTTTACTCGGTAAATCTTGCTGATTCTTCTTTAAGCTTAACAAGCTGCCATGGCCTGATCTCTGATGATTTATGTGCTGACAACTTATTAAATGTTCCCTAGCATTTCTGTTCTATGGAGAAGCTCTCCATAGACTTTTTCCACATACAAATTTAATTGGCTGTTAGAATCAAAGTAACAAGGATAAAGTGGTAGAAAGATCATTTAAAGCAAGGCCAAGTTCCTCCAGGATGCTCCTGAAAGAAAAAAAAAGAAACCACACTTATTTAAATTATCTCTTTCTTTTTCCTCAGTTATCAAATTAGGAAAAAGAGCTTTTGGTATTAGTAAAAATGCTGCCAAAGTCCTGGGTGATTTTCAGTGTTAAAAAATAGACATTATAGCAGAGAATACTCTTATTTACTTGTCATGGAGAAATGGAAATTTTCCCATTACCATAGCAAGGAAGGGAAGCTGTTTTTATCAAATTCCAAACTAGCTGGTTGCTACAACTTTTAATTCATTTATCCAACAATTATTTATTGAAGTTCACTCTATCAAAATTGTTCAAAACTAAACTCAAGTTCCTAAATGTAAAGTTTTCAATCCACAGTGAAATTTTGACTGTCCTTCCTAAATTGCTTGGGGCCAATTATTCCAAGCTTTCCTAGAATCTAAGCTTTTTTAGAAGGCCATTAAGAGGGAGGCATTGATCAGGAAACACCATGGAAGCCTTCTGTTTCCCCTCCCCCAACTCTCAGTTATTCTAGCTTATAAATTAATTGGGAAAGTAGAAACATATAGAAACATAAAAGTTTAAAAAGTATATATATACTAAATAATAACTTAATAGATAACATATAACAACATAATATGTGAATATAATACATACACATTATATCATAGTGCATATTTTATTATATAATAACAATATGATAGATACCACAAGATAATATATTAGTGCCAAGAAAATGATATTGGACATTCATAGGAGGGAGAGCTCTTTGTGGGTTGGTACAGTCAGGGAAGGTATCACAGTAGAGGTGCAGGAAGAATGGATGATTGTGAAAAGGCAGGCAAAGCATCAGGATAAATTGTTATTAAAGGGGAAGGTAATGACCTCTCCAGGGGCCTAAGGAAATGCTTAAGGGAATTTGGAGTTACGGCTGTGAATGGGTAACCACCCTTGACTTTTTGTGGGTGAAGGTCAGGGATGCGAAATCTCCTACCATACCTAGGAAGTCCCATGTTAGGGAGAATTATCCATCCCAAAGCTCCAACAGCACCCCCTACCCTTGTTGAGAAATGTTACAGAATCAAGGGAAAATGTTCTGGGACTAAGAGTTGACATGTCAGACAATAACAAAATCATTAAATGTTTTTGAGCAAGTAGGTAACTCTTTCCCACGAACCTCCCAAAAAAGTATAAATCATGCCCAAACGGCTTGTGGAAAACTATGAGTTTTTCTTCTATGCTAGACCAGTGCTTGATGACTATTTCAAAATCCTAAGTTTCAGTAAAACAAATGTCATCTCAAAGTAGTAGTCTCCAACTATCCCTTAGCTTGTACCCTTAGTATAAAACATTCAGAAAATTTAAAAATTAAGGATAAGAAGTAAATAGAAATGTCTTTATCTTGACAATTCAATGGACACTCTCACCCACCCAACCTTGGTAATTATTGACCAAAACCATAATTCAGCTCTGGTCTATGTCAGTTGTCTGCTACTTTAGTTCCATTTGTCATTCCATTTTAATTTAATTTTAGTGTGGGAACTGCTAAAGTGAAAAAGAGAGAGGAAGAAAGGAAGCCCAAAGCAACTTGTATTTTCATTTTCAAACCAGTAAGTGAGAAAAGGAACTCTCTGGGCCAATGACCTGAGGCCCCGACACTTTGCAGAAATGAGATCTACAAGTTGACTTTGTATTTTAGGCAAGGATGGCAAAGCCATCCCAGAGCCCTCAAGAAAGAGCTAGTTGATTGGTCAGCAGGGTATAATCCTGCCCATTTCCCTTATGACTTTACCCAGGGTGTAGAGAAGGATCAAGGGCACAGGAGTCCTCAGGAGAACTCAGCAAGAAACTGTAGTTATCATCCCTGGCTGGTAGGCTGAGGCCATAAGAATTCAATGACCTCATGAAGATTCTCATCCACAGAATATGTTCTTTTTTGTATTTCAAGTGCTGAGAGTTCAATTAATTATGGCTATAGTCTATTGCATATTATCATAAATCCATATGAGGTTTCTCTATTGTTCTTGTTTTTATAAAACATAAATTGTTTTTATAATGAGATTTTATTTACATAAGCAGTATTAATGCATTTGCAATTTTTGTCATGCATCAACATGCTTTTATACAACCATACATGTTGATATATGTATACCTATTCTATGAATTTTTTTTTTTTTTGAGACAGAGTCTCACTCTGTCACCCAGGCTGGAGTGCAGTGGCACAATGTCAGCTCACTGCAACCTCCACCTCCTGGGTTCAAGTGATTCTCATGTTTCAGCCTCCCAAGTAGCTAGGATTATAGGCATGCACCACATCCAGCTAATTTCTGTATTTTTTTAGTAGAGATGGGGTTTCTCTGTGTTGGCCAGGCGGGTCTCCAACACTGACCTCAGGTGATCCACCCACCTCGGCCTCCCAAAGTGCTGGGATTACAGGTGTGAGCCACCACATCCAGCCTATTCTATGACTTTTAAACAATGCATAGCATCCCCTGGTGTGTACCCACCACAATTTGGCTGTCTATTCTGCCAGTAAGAGACTTTCAAACTGCTTCCACCTCCCCACCATTGCACACAACACAGCAATGAACACCTGCTATATGTCTCCCTCTGCATTGCAATTAGATTGAATTCCTGGGGCATAGGTTAAATAGCATTTATCTCAGCTACATGTAGAATGGAGAGTAAAGGAAAGTGATATTTTAATGATTATTATGAACATGCTATGAAACATGATCAATTGTTTTAGAAATCCCACATTGGCAAGGCCAAAAGGAAGAGAATATGCAGCCAGCCATCTGTGGTGTATAAAAAAGCAGGGAAAGTAGAGTAATGACAAGGGGACATGGAGAAAGGAAAAAACACTGCTAAGGTAAAACAAAGAGGAAAAAGACAACTGGGGGCAACGAAAAGGAAACTGGAGTAACAGGGAAAAGAGTAGTGCACAAAATTTTACCTTAAAACTAGCATTCCTCTAAGACCTGAGAACAAAACTCTGCAGGTTCTCATAAGTGGGAGCTGAGCAATGTGAACATATGGACACAGGGAGGGGAACAGCACTCACTGGGGCTTGTCCAGGAGGGTGGTGGAGGTGGGGGCAGTGAGAACATTAGGGAAAAGAGCTAATGCATGCTGGACTTAATACCTAGGTGACGGGTTGATAGGTGCAGCAAACCACCATGGCACACCTTTACCTATGTAACAGACCTGCACATCCTGTACATGTACCCTGGAACTTTAAAAAAGGAAGAGAAGAGAAGAGAAGAGAAGAGAAGAGAAGAGAAGAGAAGAGAAGAGAAGAGAAGAGAAGAGAAGAGAAGAGGAGGGGAGGGGAGGGGAGGGGAGGGGAGGGGAGGGGAGGGGAGGGGAGGGGAGGGGAGGGGAGGGGAGAAGAGGAGAGGGGAGGAGAGGGGAGGGGAGGGAAGAAGAGGAGAGGGGAGGAGAGGGGAGGAGAAGGGAGGAGAGAGGAGAGAAAAGAGGAGAGAAAAGAGAAGAGAAAAGAAGCTCCCCTGTGCTTGCCCCTGTGCTTTAGAGGGCCACTCATCTTCCTCAACCACATGCCTTCCCACAGAGACAGGAGCCAAGGGGAGTCTGTGCTTCCTCTTCTATATAATGCCTGTGGGTACAGGGTCTCTGAAACTCCTGCTCAAATGATCCTAATTCCAATTCCAGGTCCTGCTTGGACCTCTCCTTCGATCCAGCTTTCTGTGAAACCACCACTCTGTATACTCTTTGGCCTAAGGAACAGGAAAGGGCAGCTGCTGCAACATGTGTGAATAAAGCTGGGACCTACATGCTGGAGTGTCTGCATGCTTTCACACGAGACTCTGCCTTAGGACAGAGAAAATATGGAAAGATAAGGAGGACAGGCTATGGACAATAGATTGGAGGGGATGTGAAAGCCTGACCTTCCAGCTTCAGGTTTCTTTGAGGAACTTAAAAGATTAATACCAGTGGGAGTAGCAATGGTGATGGCAATTTATGGTAAGTGGTAACCTGAGTAGCACTGGGAAGGTGAAAAAAAAATCCTGAAGCTGCAACAGGGACCTTTACAAGGTAGTCAGGTGGTGGATCAAAGGAGGATAGATGAGCATGCAGTCAATCCTTGAGAGGGTTAAAGGGGTCTTTACCCCCATAAGGAGGAAGAGAAAGCCAGGAGGGTCTGGGAGTGAGCATGGGCTAGTCTACAAGCAAAGAGAAATTCCTTCCCCTCCTTTCCTCCTGTCCAAGGCCAGTGGCCATGATCAATGAGCCTTCCTGGAAAAAATCATGGTCTTTGGCAAATGAGAAATTAATTTGAATTTGTACTATCCATAGTTATTTCTTATGAACTGCTGTTTTGCACATAGCTTTTAACTTTTCACTATGAAAGTATATTTGTCAACCCAAGATTTATTTAAGAGTTTATTAGTTCTGTTTATAACTTTTCTGGACCTTGCAAATGTAAAGTGATGCTTTAGATTACACATAATATAGTCTAACTAGATTTTTTTAAAGGGAATTCATTGGTTCATATAACTGAAAAGTTGCTTCAGGTAAAGTTTGATTCAGCAGCTCACTGATGTCACCTTGGACCTGATCTCTTCCCATCTTGCTGCTCCGCCTGTGGTTTGGTTTCTTCACCTAGGGCTGGCCCCTTTTGTGGTCCTGAGAAAGATGGCTTTTTCCTCCTCATCTTGCAGGAAGGGAAATAAAATTTCCCCTGTATTCCTACAAATTCAATTCAATTATACTAGATTAGGTTACCTGCCCACATCTGAACTAAGGCAAGAAGAAAAAAATTCACTGATTGTCTGATTGCAGTCTCAGGCTCTTGCTCTGAAGCCAGGGATAGAACCAGCTTTCCAGAAAATACATAAATTCCCACATGTAAATCTGGAATTGTAGGGAAGAAGTAAAGGAACAATAATTGTTGGTAACAAATGTCCACTACAGTCTGTACAAGTGATAATTTTCTGAAGACACGAGAATCCTCACAACCTTAGGACCTTCACGACTATACCTGTGGGTGTTTAAAAATCTCTCCACCCTCCCCCTCAAAAAATGCCCTCTCAAAACTCTTATCCCTCTCCTTACAAAAAGGAGCAACAGTATTCTTTCTTTAACAAAGTGGAATTTAAAATCTCTTCTAGGAAAAGATGGATGATGATAAAGGAGCGGTTTCAGGAGTTGACCTAAAAGTAATGATTAATTCTATTTTTGCAGGCTGAACTGTCCAAAGTACTAGGGGGCATCATCTTTCTTCCAGCTTCTAAAGAGGTCAAGAAATTCTTTGCCCGTGGCAGTGAGATATGAATGGAAGGTTCATCACTTGATCCTTCTGCAGAAGTAATAATTCACTGCCTCTCAGGCGAGCTCTCCAAAGGAGCACATTGAGGGACTGGAGGAGACCCATTCACCCAGATAAAATGGGCAGATTCTTAGAAGTCATTTTCATGGAAGACTGCTTTTACCTGAAGAGTTCAGGTTGGCTACCCATTGAAACTAAATCTACCTAGTAAATACATCACATGGGCTATCATGATCTAAAAAAATGACTGAGGCTTATAATTTTAAAGGGATAGTGAGACATAAATGTTCTTTGTCATATAATTTTTGATTAAGACATGAACTTCAGTTAAAATTCTAATCATACTTGAGGTAAATCATTATAGTAAACACCCCAGTGAATCATGTTTTCCTGCATCCATGACCATTGGGTAGCTGCTACTCCCCCTAACCACATACACATAGACTATGAGCTTGACCATGTGACTCACTTTGGCCAGTATAACATCAGCAAATGTGATGCAACAGAGGCTTGAAATGTGCTTGCCCATTCGGGCTTACCTTTTCTTGCTGCTGGGAACTTTCCCACCACTATGTGAAAAAGTTCAGATGGCTTCGTGAAGAACACAAGAGCATGTAGTATAAGGTCTCTGCTGTTCCAGCCATCCCAGACAGCCCACCTGAAGTCCAAATTCATATGTGAGTCCAGCCATCACAATGTGGAGCAGGAATTAACTGTCCCAAGTTGGGACAATTTACATATTATATATCTTGACAATTTACAAGATTACATATCTTGCCAACTCACAGAATTAGGAGTAGATAGACATTATTTTGAGCCACGAAACGTCAGGTTGTATTGGTACACACAAACTACAAGTGGTACAGCCTTCAAACATTACAGTGCTTACATACCTTAGAGTATAGAGTAGGCAACCAATAAATGTCTACTGAATTAACAAATTAATCTAGTAATAATCATCCATTACTAGATTGGATGTAATGTACACCTATTACAAATAATCCATTACAAATTATTATTTGACTTGCAATAAACAGATGTAATGTACATCCATTACAAATAATCCATTACAAATTATTATTTGACTTGCAATAAACATATTTGTAAAAAAGATATTCTCCTAGGATGTCAGAAAACACAGAAAATTTTATGGAAAAATTAATTTTGGTTCCCTTATTTTATTCAAAAGAAGACATAGGATGCTGTCTTCCACTTGGTCTAGCAAAACTATAAAATAGGAGTTCAATAGAAAATGAAGTAATGCACTCAAAATGCTTAGCTCAGTTTCTTGTCCTTGATAGATGTTATTGCTGATAACATTAAGGAAGATTGTGAATATGATAATGATGAATCTGAACTACCCAAGTATAGGGTCTGTTTTAGTTCATATTTTATTCATAGTACATTACTTATAATACCAGGGATATGTTAGAAATATGAGGTTTCTGATAAAGAGGATAATACTAGATAACAAGTAGGGAGTGGTTTTTTGGATTTTTAAATTCTATGTGGAATACATTGGGATGCTTCTTTAATCTGCAAACCCACATATATCTTCATTTATAACAAATTATTACTTCTTCAAATATTACCTCTTCTCCATTCTCTTTATGGCATATGTTATACTGCTTATCCTAACACTTTTATCCATTAACTGATCTTTAATCTTTCCATCTTATCTGTCAGATACCCTAGGAATTTTCCTTAAATCAATAATTGAGTTCAACAAATTCTCTCTTCTTCTCTACCTAGTCATCTATTTAACCCATCTCTTATGCTGTTAATTTGAAGTACTGCATTTTTCATTCCTAGAAGACTATTTGGTTCTTTTTTTCTAATCTGCTCTGCTCTTTTTCACATTATTTTGTTGTTACATTTTATTTTCTACTTATTCTTTTATCTCTATAATAATTTTAAATATTCTCATATTACAGATTCTTTCTAATTTAAAATGTTTGGTTTCAGGAGAGTATTCTAGGAAAATGGTAGGATAGAATGCACCAGGGATCTGTCTTCCCAGCAAAACAACAATTTCACTGTCAGAATCTGTCTAGTGTAACCATCTTGGAATCTGGAGTCTACTGAACGCTTGAAACTTTCAGGGGAAGGCTTAGACAGTAAAGCAATTTTTTTTTTTTTTTGAGAAGGAGTTTCACTCTTGTTGCCCAGGCTGGAGTGCAATGGCGCCATCTCGGCTCACTGCAACCTCTGTCTCCTGTTTTCAAGTGATTGTCCTGCCTCAGCCTCCTGAATAGCTGGGATTACAGGGATGTGCCACCATGCCAACTAATTTTTTTATTTTTAGTAGAGATGGGGTTTCACCATGTTGGTCAGGCTAGTCTCGAATTCCTGACCTCAAATGATCTGCCAACCTCAGTCTCCCAAAATGCTGGGATTACAGGCGTGAGTCACCATGCCCACCCAAAGTAAATTTTTAAGATCAATTACAGCTCTTTACACAGTAGCAACTCCATCCCTAGTTCCTTAGCAGGCAGCTGTGCACATGTTCTTGGAGCAGCTTGCACACAGCCTATGGGAGCCACGGTGGGCAAAAAGCATCCTGTCCTATAAATATCGGGAATCTGTGTTCTCATCATTGATTGCTACTTCTGACCAGAGGGAAAAAAAAGAAAGAAGTAGGCAGCCATTGTTGCTGCTTCTTCCCTTTCACATTGTTGTAAGCCCCTCCCACTCTGGCTGAAGTGACTTCCAGGAGGTACAAAGGGCCAGTGCCCTTTTCCTTCCTCCTTTTATTTTTCTCTTTTCCCACTTTTCATAGCCAGACATTAAAGACTAGAACATTCAAAAATACTTGCATTTATAGATTTAAAAACTGTATATGCTCAGGGAAAGATGAAAACTCATTAAAGACCGAAGAAGACCTTAATTTATACCTCATGCTGATTTTTGGCATATGGATAGCCTACAATAACAAAAAATAAACAAAAACTACAGTGAGAAAAGTAATCCTTACAGGAGGGGAAAATATGACTTTATATTATTAGATTTAACTGCTCAGTTTCAACAAACATTACAAGGCACAGAAAAAAACAGGAAAGTATGGCACATTTAAGGGAAAAAGCAAATTGATAGAAATTGTCCCTGAAAAAGAAATGATAGTAGATCTACTAGACAAAGATTTTAAAATAACTGTCTTAAAGATGCTCCAGTAACTAAAGATAGATGCAGGGAAAGCCAAGAAAATTATGTATAAACAAAATGGAAATATCAACAAAGAGATAAAAAATCTGAAAAGAAACCAAAAAGAAATTCTAAGATGAAAAGTACAATAACAAATAAAAATTTTACTAGAGGGATTCAAAGGCAGATTTGAGCAGTCAGAAGAAATAATCAGCAAACCTGAAGATAGGACAATGGAAGGGAACAAACCTAAAGAACATGTGGGAAACCATCAAGCCAAACAACATATGCATTTTGGGTATTCCAGAAGGAGAAGAGAGAAATGGGAAAATGGGGAAAAAATAATATTTCTTATTATTTGAAGAAATAATGGCTGAAAACTTTCCAAGTTTGATGGAAGGCATGCATATAAACATTTAAGAAGCTTAACAAACTCTAAATAAGATGAATGCAAAGAGAGCCATACTGAGATATATTATAATCAAACTTTTGAAAGACAAAGACAGAGAGTCCTGAAAGCAGCTAGACAGAAGTGACTCATCACATACAAGGGATCCTTAACAAGATAATTAGCAGATTTCTTACCAGAAACTTGGGAGACCAGAAGGCAGTGAGCCAATATGTTCACAGTGTTAAAAGGAAAAAAAAACAAAAACAAACAAAAACCTGTCAACCAAAAATCCTATATCCAGCAACACTGTCCTTCAAAAGCCAGGGAGAAATTAAAACTGCCCCAGAAAAACAAAAGCTGAAGGAGTTCATTACCACTAGACCTGCTCTGCAATAAATGCTCAATGGTATTTTGCAGGGCAAAATGAAAGGACACTAGACAGCAATTCAAAGCCATATGAAGAAATAAAGAAAAATACACCAGCAACTATAAAAGTGAGTATTATTTTAACAATGGTTTGTAACTCTATTTTTTGTTTTCTCCATAATTTAAGAAACTAATACATTTTTTAAAAATAGTTATTAGTCTAAAAGCTAGTGTTATTTTAATTTTGGCTTGTAATGCACATTTTGTTTTCCATGTAATTTAAGAGACTAATGCTCTTAAAAAAATTATTAGTTTATGCCTTTGGATATATATGTATAAGGATTTAATTTTGTAACATCAACAACTAAAAGGGGTAGAAACATAGCTATTAAGAAGTAGAGTCTGTATGTTATTGAAGTTAAACTGATAAATTTAAATTGGAGTGTTATAACTTTAGGATGTTAAATGTAATATCCATGGTAACTGCAAAGAAAGATGGTGAGAGATTATGTAAAAAGGGAAATAAGAAAGAATTTAAACATTTTAATACAAAAACAAAATCAACTTAACACAAAAGACGATAGCAATGCAGGAAATTAAGGACAAAAACTATAAAGCATATTAAAAACAACAGAATGACAGAAGTAAGTATTTTATCAGTAATTATTTAAAATGTAAATGGCTTAACCTCTGCAATCAAAAGATAAATAAAAGACAAATAGCAGAATGGATAAAAATAGAGGATCCAACTACATGCTGTCTACAAAAGATTCACTTTATATCCAAAGATGCAAACAAGTTGAAAATGCAAAGATTAAAAAAAAGCACATGCTAATAATATTTAAAAGAAAGCAAGGCCGGGCATGGTTGCTCACACCTGTAATCCCAGCACTTTGGGAGGCCAAGGTGGCTGGCCTACTTGAGGCCAGGAGTTTGAGACCAGCCTGGCCAAACCCCATCTCTACCAAAAATACAAAAATTAGCCAGGTATGTTGGCACTTGCTTGTAATTCCAGCTACTCGAGAGGCTGAGACATGAGAATTGCCTGAATGTGAGAAACAGAGGTTGCAGCGAGCCAAGATTATGCCACTGCACCTCAGCCTGGGTGACAGAGCAAGACTCTGTCGAAAGAAAGAAAGGAAGAAAGGAAGAAAGAAAGAAAGAAAGAAAGAAAGAAAGAAAGAAAGAAAGAAAGAAAGAAAGAAAGAAAGAAAGCAGGGTAGCTATACTAATATCAGACAAAATAGACTTTAAATTTAAAAAGATTACAAGAGGCAAAGAAGGATATTCATTGTCCATGTCACTATCAGCACTTTGGACAAAACCATTTCAACAAGTCTCTAGGAAGCTCCAAACTTTCCTACATCTTCTTGTCTTCTTCTGAGCCCTCCAAACTATTCCAACCTCTGCCCATTACCCAGTTCCAAAGCTGCTTCCACATTTTCAAGTATCTTTATACTATTGCCCCACTCCTGGTACCAATTTACTGTATTAGTCCATTTTCATACTGCTATGAAGAAATACCCAAGACAGGATTATTTACATAGGAAAGAGTTTTGTTTAATTGACTCACAGTTCCACATGGCTGGGGAGGCCTCAGAAAAATTCCAGTCATGGTGGAAGATGAAGGGGAAGCAAGCACCTTCATAAGGCAGCAGGAGAGAGAGATAGAAGGAGGAAGAGATAGAAGGAGGAACTTCCAAACACTTATAAAACCATCAGATCTCATGAGAACTCACTCACTATTATTAGAACTGCATGTTGGAAACTTCCCCTGTGATTCAATCACCTCCCTCCCTCGACATATGTGGATTACAGGTCCCTCCCTCAACACATGGGGATTCTAATTTGAGATGAGATTTGGGTGGGGACACAGAGCCAAATCATATCACCCCATTCTTAATAGATAACCAGACAGAAGATAAGGACATATTGGACTTAAATAACATGACAAACTAACTAGATCTGACAGATATATACAGAACAACCTATTCAATAATGACAGAATACACACTTTTCTCAAGTGTACATGGGACATGTCCCAGGATGGATCATGTGTCAGGCCACAAATTAAGTCTCAATAGATTTGAAAAGATAGATATCATACAAAGTATATTCTTCAGCCACAACAGGATGACGTTCAAAATCAATGACAGAAAAAAAAATGGAAAATTTACAAATTTATGGCTATCAAACAACACACTCTTAAAGAACCAATGGATCAAACAGGATATCACAATGGAAGTTAGAAAGTAGTTAGAGACAAATGAAAATGAAAACACAACATACCAAATATGAAACACAGTAAAAGTAGTGCTAAGGGGGAAATTTATAGCTATGAACACTTATAAAATGAGAACAATCTCAAATCAATAGTTGTATTAGTCTGTTGTCATACTGCTATAAAGAACTGCCTGAGACTGGGTAATTTATAAATAAAAGAGGTTTAATTGACTCAGTTCAGCAGGGCTGAGGAGGCATCAAGAAACTTACAATCATGGCAGAAGGGGAATCAAACATGTCCTTCATATGGCGGCCGGAAGAAGTGCTGAGCAAAGGGGGTAAAGCCCCTTGTATAATAACACCATCAGATGTCATCACAACTCACACACTAACACAAGAACAGCATGAGGGTAACCACCCCAATGATGAAATTACCTCCCACTGGGTCCCTCACACAATATGTGGGGATTATGGGAACCATAATTCGAGATGAGATTTGCATGGGGACACAGCCAAACCATACCATTCTTCCCCTGGCCCCCCACAAATCTCATGTCCTCACATTTCAAAACACAATCATGCCCTTCCAACAGTCCCCCAAAGTCTTAACTCATTCCAGCATTAACTCAAAAGTCCAAGTTCAAAGTCTCATCTGAGACAAGTCAAGTCCTTTCCACCTATGAGCCTGTAAAATCAAAAGTGAGTTAGTTATTTCCTAGATACAATGGGGGCTCAGGCATTGGGTAAATACACCCACTCCAAATAGGAGAAATTGGCCAAAACAAGAGGCTACAGGTCCCATGCAAGTCCAAAATCCAATGAGGCAGTATTTAAATCTAAAATCTCCGAAATAATCTCTTTTAACTCTATGTCTCACATACAGCTCATGCTGATGCCAGAGGTGGGATCCCATGGCCTTGGGCAGCTTCATCTCTGTGGCTTTGCAGGGTACAGCCTCACTCCTGGCTGATTTCTTGGACTGGCATTGAGTGTCTGTGGATTTCCAGGTGCACAGTGCAAGCTGTCAGTGGATCTACCATTCTGGTATCCAAAGGATGGTGGCCTTCTTCTCAGAGCTCTACCAGGCAGTGTCTCAGTGAGTACTCCGTGTGGGGGCTCTGACCATATTTTCCTTCTGCACTGTCCTAGAAGAGGATTTCCATGAGGGCTCTACCCCTGCAGCAAACTTCTGCCTAGATATCCAGGTGTTTTCATACATCCTCTGTAATCTAGACGGGGGCTCCCAAACCTCAATTCTTAACTTCTGTGCATCCACAAGTTCAACATCAGGTGCAAGCTACCAAGGCTTGGGGCTTGCACACTCTGAAGCAACAGTCTGAGCTGTATGTTGGCCCCTTTTAGCCACGCTGGAGCTGAAGCAGCCAGAATGCAGGGCCCCATGTCCCGAGGCTGCATAGAGCAAGGGGGTTCTCAGTCTGGCACAGGAAACCACTTTTCAACCCCTAGGCTTCCTGATCTGTGATGGAAGTGGCTGCTGTGAAGGTCTCTGACATGCGCTGGAGACGTTTCTTCATTGTCTTGGTGATTAACATTTGGCTCCTCATTACATATGAAAATTTCTGTAGCCAGTTTGAATTTCTCCCCAGAAAATGGGGTTTTCTTTTCTATCACATTGTCAGGCTGCAAATTTTCAAAACTTTTATGCTCTGCTTACTCTTGAACACTTTGCTGCTTAGAAATTTCTTCCACCAGATACCCTAAATCATCTCTCTCAAGTTCAAAGTTCCACAGATCGCTAGGGCAGATGTAAAATGCTACCAGTCACTTTGTATAGCAAGAGTGACCTTTACTCCAGTTCCCAACAAGTTCCTCATCTCCATCTGAGCCTACCTCAACCTGGACTTTGTTGTCCATATCACCATCAGCATTTTGGTCAAAGCCATTTAACAAGTCTTTAGGAAGTTGCAAACTTTCCCACATTTTCCTGCTTCTTCTGAGCCCTCGAAATGGCTCCAATCTCTGCCTGTTACCTGGTTCCAAAGTCACCTCCACATTTCTGGGCCTCTACAGCAGCGCCCCACTCTTTGTGGTACCAATTTATTGGGTAATTAATATTGGAAAGAGATTTAATTGGCTCACAGTTCCACAGGACTGGGGAAGCCTCAGGAGACTTACGATCATGGAGGAAGGGGAAGCAAACCTCTCCTTCTTCACATGGCAGCAGGAAGGAGAAGTGCTGAGCAAAAGGGGGAAAACCCCTTATATAATAAAACCATCAGATCTCATGAGAACTCACTATCCTGAGAACAGCATGAGAGTAACCACCCCCATGGTTACATTACCTCCTACTGGGTCACTCCAATGACACATGAGGATTATGGAAACTACAATTCAAAATGAGATTTGGGTGGGGACACAGCCAAACCATATCAATAATCTTACTTTAGAACTGAAGAAACTAGAAAAAGGAGAGCAAAACAAATTTAAATAATCATAATAATAATAAAGATTTAGACAAAAGACAAATGAAACACGGAATTAAAAAAACACAGAAAAATCAATCAAAAGTTGGTTTTGTATAAAGATCAACAAAATTGACAAATTTTTAGCTAGTTTAACCAAGAAAAAAGAGAAAAGACTCAAATTACTAAAATTAGAAAATGAAAATGGGGAAATGGAAACATTACTACTAAGTCTACAGAAATATAAAGGATTTACAAAGAGTACTATAAATAATTGTACACCAACAAATTGTATAACCTAAATACAATGGGTAAATTTCTAGAAACGCAAAACCTACCAAGACTAAATCACAAAAATCGAAAATCTGGATAGACCTATAACTAGTAAGGTAATTGATTCCTTCATCACAAATCTCCCAACAAAGAAAAGCCCTGAATTAGATGGCTTCACTGGTGAATTCTATCAAACATTTATAAAAAGAACAATAGCAACCCCATTCAAAAATGGGCAAAGGACTTGAATAGACATTTCTTTAAAGAAGGTATACAAATGGCCAATTAGCACATGAAAAGTTGCTCAACATCACTAATCATCAGGAAAATGCAAATCAAAACTACAATGAGATACCACCTGACACCTATCTGGATGGCTGCTATCAAGAAAACAGAAAATAACAAGTGTTGGCAAGGATGTGGAGAAATTGAATCCCATGCACACTCTTGGTGGGAATGTAAAATGGTACACCTGCTGTAGAAAACAGTATGGAAGTTCCTCAAAAAATTAAAAACAGAGTTACCATATAATCCAGTAGTTCCTCTTCTGCGTATATACTCCCCATATTTAAAACAGACTCTCAAAGGAATATGTGTATAACCATGTTTAAATACCATTATTCACAATACTAAAGTGTGGAAACAACATAAGTGTCCATCAACAGATGTATGGATAAGCAAAATGCAGTATCTACACACAATGGAATTTTATTTAATCTTAAAAAGGAAGGAAATTCTTACATATGCTACAACATGGATAAGCCTTAAGGACATTGTGCCAAGTGAAATAGGTCAGTCACAAAAAACAAATACTGTATGATTCCACTCACATGAGGTACTTATAGTAATCAAAATCATAGCAAAAATCAGTAGAAAGATGGTGGCCAGAGGTTGGGGCAAGGAGGAAATGGGGAGTTACTGTTTAAAGGGTAATACAGTGTTTCATTTTATCAGATGGAAAGTTATAGAGACGGATGGTGTTGATGGTTACACAACAAACATTATAAATGTATTTAATACCACTGAACTGTACACTTAAATATAGTTAAGATGTAAATTTTATGTTATGTGTATGTTAACACAATAAAAAAATTGGAAAAATGTTTAGATCTTAAAATACTAATTATTCCATTTGTTGCATCTGCTAGATCTCACTTATGTAATTTGTAATTTTTAAACATGAGCTCATCTTCAAGGATGAATATTTATTTTCGGGGAGTTCTATGTGCTTTAGTTTATAAAATTATTAGAATAGAGTGTGTTCAGCCGTTGCTTATGTTTGGAAAATGAAGAGTTTCAATGACTCTGGACCATTTTTAACACCCATGTACCTGACAGGATGCCAGGTTCCATTGGAACTGCATGCTTCAGGAGTTATCTAACATAGGCAAACTAATTTCTCCCCTTTCTCAGATCACACACCCTACGCTTGCTGCAAATTCCTGATTTGTCCTAAGCACACAGCCTGAATCAGTTACCACAAATAATCATCCTACCTCCTGTTCTCTATTCAGTCCTCAGTTCTCTTCTTTCCTAAGCTTTTATCTTCATTTCCCTCTTTTTGGTGGCAGGTTTACCCAGCCTGATCTTCAGCTCTACCTCTATAGCCTATTGTTCAAGTTATTCCTACATCGAAATCAATAAATACATCCATTTATTCATTTAGCAATGTTTATTGAGATCTTTCTGCACTATCATAAACTTAGTAAAATTCTGTTTTAGAATTTAAAGTAAAAATGACTCTGATCTCAAATAGGAGTACACACAGATTGCATGTAGAATTTGAGAGTGTTGTGATTTCATTACAAGATTCATTTATAAATATAAGACTATTTTCTTAAGAATAAAAATGAATGAAAATTGGCATTCTGAATATTAGCCTTAAATCTATCTCATGGAGAGATTGCCAAAAACAATGATGGCCACACTATATTTAAAATTTTAGGGGTAAAGAGTAATATTAGTTCCAGAAAAACTAAAGACAGTTCATTGTTCTAGCAAGACTCTTCTGAAAAAAATAAATAAATAAAGGGTCATGAAAAAGGGGCCTAATTCTTTGAAACTGAGGGCAGTTACATTTCCCATTAAGAAAACTCACCAAAGATATAATACACATAGTTTATACTGTCTGAGCAGTGAAAAAAAAAAATTCTTACTGAGTTTCTGAACTTAAAAATAAGAAAATTTTGTGCACACAGCCCCAGGTCTGGAAGACAGCCTTGACATTTCTCTTCACTTTGTAAGTCCTGGGAGAAGAAACCAGTAAGGAGATGGAAGGAACAAAGCAGAGGTCTCCATGCCCATCACCCAATACATCTAGGAGGAAGTGAAATTGTGAGCTTATGCCCCCGACACATGCTATAGGCACTGGGAAACATCTGGGGAGAAAAAGTCCAGAGGTTGTCCAAGATGTATCTGTTTATTCATTTAGCAACGTTTATTGCGAACTTTCTGCATGAAAAGCACCACCATGCTAGGCAAGACAGGAGATGTAAGATATTTCAAATGATGACTCTACTTTCTATAATTTTCTCACCTGGCAACCTGGCATAAAACAAAAGTATGATAAAACAGCAAGTATCATAAGTTCCACATAAGTGACACACATAAAGAGTTTAAAACATTTAGTGCAAAGAGAAAGAAAAAAAAAGCCTGGCCATGTTTATGTTTAAAGAAATAAAGAAAGCACAAATTTATGACAAGTACTCCACAATCCCAGCTCAGAAATTCCCAGAAGAAAGTCAAGTTTTCTCAAAGATTTAGTTAGAGAGAGAGAGAGCGCGCGCAATGGCCCCGCATCCTTATACCTCCGTTTTTATTTTTAGCACAAACAGCATTCTTATGCTTGGGAGCCACAAGACCTAGCCATTCTGCATCTTCCTGTGGGCATCTACAGTATGTAGGTGACTTGTCAAGAGAGCAGCTCCCTGGTCTGCTTCAGGGACTCATCACAACTGGCCATCTGAGAAATGCCATTGTCATTTTTAGGTTGGCAAGTGCCTTCCCTTCTCATGCTGCTCATGTGGTGACAACATTCAAATAATCTAATTTCAGTAAAACGTGGAGCTACTAGAGCAGTTTTAAATAGGAATTCACTACCGATTTGCTGTGCTTTGCTTTTTCCTGGATGTTATAGCCCCTGCCCTGACCTCTGTGACTTGGGAAAATGAATATCATTTCTCCCCCTTAATCATCACACAGTCTCCAAATAAAAATAGTGGCTCCTCAGAGGAGACAACATGCAATTAGATGTCTGCAGTTTTGCATATTCTGAGCAAGCAATTTAAAATGTCAAATAGTGAGCAGTTTCTTTGTGCTTCATAAAAAGACTCCCCCGATTCCCCCAGACAACCCATTTGCAGAATTGCTAGTAAATCAACATAATTTGTTTTCCCTGAGACTATGTTTTGCCAGGGAAACCTCCTTCAAAACTGCTGAAGCTGCTGCAATTATATAAAATTATCGCATCTCACAATAAGGAACTTCCCTATAATTGGTCATGCAAGTGAGGAACAATAATACATATATAATTTAGACACAGAAGACTAACCTTGAAAAGCAGCCTATTGTTCCCAAGTTAGTTTAATTTCATCAGTGTTCCTTTTGCTTTATAAAACCCCTGAATTTTACAATTCAGAAGATATTCGTTATCCCAGGGACACACACTTTGCTTCGGTGAATTCAAATATTTAGTACATAGTGCATGTCCAATATTTGAATGCAATTACACCATCATTGTGAAGTCTGTGGCTGCAGAAAGAAGAATAATTAGCCCCATTTTTAAACAATTAACAGGCAGACTTCATTCAAAAGCTTTAACAGAGAGCCAACAAGCAAGTACTAATATCTAATTCTACATACCTGGGCACCACCAAAGAAAATGGATCAGAGCCCGAGGCACAGACATTTGTGAAGCGCTTTCCCTAAAAGAGAGCTGCCCAAAGAAAACAGCAGACTCACCCTCATGCTCTGTTGGTATACACATATGGATCTAACCTTGGTCAAAGAATGCATCTAAGATTTAAAAAGACAGTTAATTCTAGTGGCAAAAAGATTATGAAAGCCAGGAAAGCTGAGCAAAAAGCAGTGTTTTCACTGACCACTGGTATGATCACTGCCACATCAATTTGCTTCTTTAAAACCCCATTTTCTTAATACCAAGTGAAGTATTTGAGTTACCTGAGCTCTATGTGATTCTTTTACTATAAAATATTATTAATCTACCTATGATGAATGCTTGCTATTGCACAAAGGGTTGCTATGGAGTTATGGCAAGAGTATGGTCTTGAGATTGACAGGTCTGGGGTTGACTCCAGTTTTAAGGTATTAGCTTTGTAAATCTATACAAAGTACTAGTTTGTTCTCAGAGCCAGAGCTCCTTCAACTACAAAACAGATTTGGGAGAAAATTAAATGTTTACCTAGTGTCAGTTAGCATTTTAAAACTTAGCTTATTCCTCAGAATAATTAAAGCAACTCTAGGTAAAGTTGTGAAGTAAGTGGAGGCTGCCTAGAGTCCGTCCTTCCTGCATTTTTTATTTTTCTTTAAACTTACACTCCTGCCTTCCTGCTGTTTCCTCCTTCTAAACATGAGAATCAAGCCACACTAAGATGAAGGAGATACAATGTATTATCAGTATTTATATGCAACAGTAGCACAGAGGCTAAGAGTCAGTATCTAGAGTCAGACAGATCTGAGTTCAAATCCCGACTCCTTACTTTACATGCAATCCTGGGCAAGTTAATTAATTTCTCCAAGACTCAATTTCTCTGATTATAAAATGAAGATAAATAAATCTACCTATATAGAGTTGATATAAAAACTAAATAACATGGTCATGACACACTTAGTATTAAATTAGGTACAAGTGAGTGTCTAATAAACAATGGTGCTGATTATTATTTATTCCCTCACCCTGCCAATGGCTCAAATTAGCTTGTAAATAAATAAAAACCTTCTATCTTTACACAGCAACTTAAGTCACACTTCCCCTTCTCTGCCTAACTGATCTGTAAAAATCTATTACAGGCTTTGTATTTTACCTTTTTCAATCTTATCATGTTCTTTTGACCCTACACTTACTTTCCTTTCTCTCTTCCAGCTTTCTGCTGAGGAAAAGGCAACTCCTCTGGTCCTGCCTGCCTAGGATTCTACCTTCACATTTCCAGCATCACTAGTTCCTTCTCATTTATTCCTCCATCCATGCAGTCATGCAACAACCTTTGGAGGAGTACCTTCTATTTATCAGTCTTTGTTAGGAGCTAGGAATACAAAACTAGCACATACTGACTTTAAGCAGGTAACTGCAGAACAGATAGACATTAAAGAGGCAACATTAACAGGACTTCAGGATTGATGGATGTTGCAGATTGGGAGTGAAGTTCACTCCCTTTAACCTCTCCCCAAGTTCTGCTAGAAATTCTTTCTATGAATTTGCTTCTGTCTGCATATTCTCCTCTGCTAAGTACCACTATAAGGTAAATTATGCAATATTGAGAATATCAATGTAAAGGGGATAGACTTTATTTAAACCCTGGGAGTTCACACACACACATATATTTTCTTAGAGACAAATTTTCCACTATCTGAAATTGGCAGCAACAGACTCTGGGAAAGGAAAGTTCAAGTACTTTGACCATGCATATGCTTAATAATTTTGTTTGGGACCTTAGAAGCCTGTAAGAATGACTTATCATCTCAAAATTATAAGGTCATTTTAAAGGCCAGAGCCCTATTGATGAAAAATACGAAACAAAGAACTTGAATGTGCTTCAACTTTGCAAAGAAAATTGTTTGCCATTGTGCAAAGAAAGCACATGCTATGCATTGAGTCAAGTCAACAAGTGCCTAAACTTAAATTACTCTGCAAAAATAATGTGAAAAGTTTATTGGTTCTCATAAAAGTGGTGAGGAAAAGGGTTGGGGCCCTGACTCAGGAAAGTGGAAATGAGAAAGGGGATTCTGGGAAGATCAATGACCTCCAGCAATATGGTGGCAGGCCAGAGTCAAGAAGGAAAGAGTCAGTAGGAGGCCCATATGTTGTGCATGTATAGACTTCAGAAGCAATGTTTATAACCAGGTTTGTTTTCTTTTTCTGCAGTGTAAGTCACCTGTCCCTCTCCTCCTTGCTGCACTAAAACTTACTAAAGTCTGCTTAAAATACTTTGTGTCCATTGAGTGGGTAACATTTAAAGG
Organism: Homo sapiens; assembly: GCF_000001405.40. Lineage (NCBI taxonomy): Eukaryota > Metazoa > Chordata > Mammalia > Primates > Hominidae > Homo > Homo sapiens. Next base: position 113,872,441 of record NC_000005.10, on the reverse strand, counting down.
AAGGTCTGTATCCATACATAGCATGAAGGGCAGCAGGGAAGCAGCTCAATAACATGGAGGTGGTTTCTGGAGGCAGCCAAAGAAACGGCAAGCGGAGCCCCATTCAGCACAGTCGTTCAAAGGGAGGTGCAACCAGCAAAGCACGAAGACATGTGAGCATTCCCTGGGATCTTCAGAAATCATTGAAACAGGAGTAGATTTCCCAGGCTTACATGAGCTGCAGGCTCAAATTACTGTTATTTGCATAGTAAAGGGAAGTGGTCACTCAAAAGTGCTTGAAAAGTTGAAGATATTAAGGAGGGTAGGTATATTAGCAGGGTATACTAGGGAGGTTCTTACAGAAGGAAATATGTTGGTTTTTAAGATAAGGTCCTAATACAATTCAGTGTATCTTTAACTAACTTCACTAAATAGGACACAAGTAAAGCCTCAAAAGCAGCCAAATCCCAGACCTCCCAAAGGTTTTAGAGTAGACCAGGAAGTCCTTCTGGTTCTTTAAACATCATAAGGGCATGGCTGAGGAATACTATGAGGAAAAGGTGGGGAACACTCAGCTGCCCTTTTCAGGGGCCTCACTGGCTTATTTCTCTTATCAGCGAGGTCCCTGAAAGATGTGTGATGGCTTCCCATTCCCAGAAAACCCCATTAAGAATGACAGAATCCCAAATGACTGCCAACTCTTTTGCTACGTATGTTGTAAGATAGGAAATCTCCCACTTCTCTTCATAACCTTCTACAGCTTTTTAATCATTTACATTCAAAAGGCTCTTATTATCAAATCATTGATCTCTTACAGAAATTCTAGCCCAATTCTTTCCCTTTGGCCCTCCATGATATGAAGAGCCACTAGTCAGCATTATCTCTGTACCTCCTTATAGTCCTGACTAAAAGATTATGGGGTGCTCCTTCTCATTTTCTCTCACAGGCTAGACAGCATCATTAATTTTCCCTCACAGAACCATTTCTCTAAATCATCCCCTGGATAATTTCTATAGCTCTAGCCTCTCTGGTTTTCTGTACTTTCTAATTTTGAATAAAAAGCAAACTGGAAATAATTGTTTAGCACCAATGAAAACATACTAAGAAGATACACAGTTCCACTTTTATATCACAGTTGTTCCAATGGCATACTGATCTTTAAACTTTAAAAAAAAATGTTGTTCACCAAATTCAACTTTGAAAACCTATATCAGTTGTACCAGTCTGCTGTGTGCTGAAACAGTTAAATTTCCATTCTGTTAGTCAGTGTTCTGCTCTATAGAAAACTTTTTAAAACATTTAGTTTGTTTTTTTTTTTTTAACAAAATCCAGTTGTTAGAGAAGTTACTCAGAGCAATTAAACCAAACACAGCTGAAAGTTAACTTCAAAGTCGATAACAGAGTTGTCTACCAAAGCTACTCTTGTTCTGTTCAGGTCATTGAAAACCTTCATGGGCCTGATCTAATGACATTTTCTGCCCTCATCTTACTTGATGCCTCATCAAACTTCACCAAAAAAATCTTTATTCGAAGCATAAGGGAAGACCCTTCTCCAGCATGACCTTACACTCTTTGGGTTTTCCTTTTCCCTCTCTAGTTATTTCTCCCAATCTTTTGCTCACTTCTCCAACTCTTCCTAACCTCTCCCTCTTTTTCTCAGGATCTGTGGTGAGCTGTCTTTTCTTCTACTTGAGGCACTCCCAGTCCCTTCTATGGTTTCAATTACTATCTATAAATCAAGGAGTTACAATGTATCATTCCAGTCCAGGCTTTTATTTGAAGCTCCATAAAATATATCTAACTCACTCATCAACATCTCCATTTAGATATCGAACAAGCAACCCCAGTTCTTGCTCTAAGACTAAATACATGATTGCTCACTCCCCCACTGCTCACCCCTACGCTGAACAAACCTACTTGTTGTGCTTCCTATTTCCTAGCTCAGGAGTTGCTCTTCCAGGAAAAATCGTGTTATCAATACCCTGATTCCTACACCCTCCATATCCAATCCCTCCCTTGTCTGTTAGTTCTATTTCCTAAATTATTCAAACACATCTATTTCTCTCCACTTTCATTGTTCCTTTGTTTATCCCAGCTGCCATCACCTCTCTCCTGGATTTCCAAAAACCTCCTAACTGGTCTCCCAGACCTATTTATATCTTCTCCAATAAATTCTTCACTTTATAGTCAGAGTAATCATTTAAAACACAAAGGGCTCAATGTCATGCCCTTGCTTAAAATTTCTAAGTGAATTTCTATACATTTAGTATAGACAACCAAAAATCTTTAACATTCCCTGCCTGACCTGGTCCTGAACAATCTGGCTTCTGCCCATATTCTAACCTGAGTTTTCCCCACCCATTAAGCCACACTGGTCATCTTGCAATCCCTCAAATGTGCCAGTCTCTCTCCCCTCACAGTCTCCCCATGCAGTTCCCTCTGCCTGAAATGCTTTTCCACATGTTCCTTAGTCAGCTAGCCTCACTCTTACTTAATGTCTTAGCTTAAAATAAATACCTCTTTCTCAGAGAAGTAGCTCCTGATCCCTGCACTGGATGTGGGCTAGACAGTGGTGCCACCCCATGTCTCCTCCACATTTTTCCAGCCTCTCTTGCTGAAGGATAGGGCTTTGTGACTAGCTGTGCTCTGCTGCCTGGCAGCGATGACATCACCCTTATCTGAAGTAGTGACAACTAGGTGGGAATTCTCCATGGTCTCTCTCTTGTTCTTGTGGCTGAAAGCAAATGATTTTATGATTATGATGGTGGAGTTGTAAGACTATAGCGTGAATGAGAAATCAACCCTTGTTGCATTAAGTCACTGAAACTTCGGGATTTGTACTTTTCACCAGAACACAATTTAGTTCATCTTGACTAATTGCCTGTCAGATGCCCTTTGCTATTCAACCTCCTGTCCCCTTGTACTATTATATCCTTGGCACCTACCACAGTGTTGGACATCTAGCACTCAAAAAATATTTGTTGAAAAAGTAAATAAATGGGTAAAATACCACAGTGTACAAATTTACAATAATATCATTTCAAAAAGATAAAAAAGATTTCAGACAACAAAGTAAACTTCTTTGATATGATTCTTAGAAGACTATGGATTTGGCTGGGTGTGGTGGCTCACGCCTGTAATTCCAGCACTCTGGGAGGCTGAGATGGGTGGATCACAAGGTCAGGAGATCGAGACCATCCTGGCTAACATGGTGAAACCCCGTCTCTACTAAAAATACAAAAAAAATTAGCCAGGCGTGGTGGCAGGTGCCTGTAGTCCCAGCTACTCAGGAGGCTGAGGCAGAAGAATGGCATGAACCCGGGAGGCAGAGCTTACAGTGAGCCAAGATCGCGTCACTGCACTCCAGCCTGGGCGACTAAGCGAGACTCCGTCTCAAATAAATAAATAAATAAATAAATAAATAAATAAATAAATAAGACTATGGATTTAATTATTATTATTATCTATATACTAAAAAAAACCAACTCTCTATATACAGTTAGCAAATAGTGATTAAATCCATGGAGTGGAGAGCAAAATCTACAAGTTAAATTGAGGAACAAATAGGTCCAAGGACAAAGCCCTGAGAATAAGCAGCCATTAAGAAGTGAGCAGAGAAACGGGAACTTGCAGAAGAAATGGGAATAGGAAGAGAGAGGAATAAAGGAAGCAAGAAAGGGGGAGGCCAAAGGAAGAAAGTATGTTGAGAACCAGGGAATTGGTTCCGCACCAGAGAGAATGTGTGACTGTTTTCTATGATGATTTACAAGTGTCTTCACAAATACTGATCCCTACCTGGACTGTTCTTTACACATCTATACATCTCTCTTCTTCAATCTTCCACAGAACTCCTATTTGTCTTTGAAGACACACCTGAAAATTTGCTTCCTCTGAAGAAGGTTAGGACTTCCTGCTATATATTCAGTAGCACTCTGATCTTTTCTTCAAAGAACCATCAGAATTGCAGAACGTTAGAAATATGACCTGCAATATGACCTTAGCCACTTTATTTCTCTTCCTAGGGAAGAGAGGATGAAATACAAAAAAAGTAAGAAGTTAAAATTCACTGGAGGATTCCCTTTTTAGAAGTTAGAGAAGGAGGGCATCACAGGAATGACTTTTTTATGTCATCTTTGCACAGAGACCTGGCTGGATTAATACAATGCTGAGAGAGATTCTATGGGTAAGAAAGAAACCTATTAGCTTTATTTTTCAACTACAGACACAAAAATATAAAAGACTTTGAATCAAAGAAATTATCTTTTTAAATATTTTACTTATTAAGTTATTATCTCAATAAAGTATATCTTAAAAATAAAATATTTTTTAAACAATAAAAATCTTTTTGAGGCTTGAAGATGGTACAAAGTATAAATAATTGTATCATAGAATTTAGTTTTTATAAAGTTGTTATATTTCTTTTCTCTAATTTGGTCTTGAGGTTTCTCTTACAAGAAACTTGATTATACTGGCAGACACCCTGAGGCTGTTATTTGATCTGTGTCTAGTTTACTTCTACTAAGATAGCCATCCTCTAGGAGAGCCCTGACGGGGAAAGAAGTTGGGTTTGGTGTGTCAGTCAGCTGAGACACAGAAGAAGCAATTCAACAAAACACATGAAATAGCGGGAGCAGTTTATTACTTACAGATCCCAGAGAGAAGAGCCAGCAGGAAGTGGAAGCTATCTGGGACATGCACACTCCACCAGTGGGTGGACAGTCAGAGAGACAGAGTAAGAGAAGTCTGTGGACCAAAGTCTTTATTGAGGTTCAGAGTGCTACCCAAGCAGGTTTCCCAAGGGGAGCACTAATTGGTGGGTTTAAAGCAAGCAGGCACAAGTTCTGTGAGGTCTCGCTGTGTCTCAGAGATGCCCACTGTGGCATACCTGCACAGTCCATGTGCGTTACAGGGGTTAGTGGAGCGAGTCAAGTAGGTTGCAGCTAGCTGTCCCATGGAGGGTGGTCACAAGGAGGCAGTTGTCTAAAACAGACATCTGGAGAAACTGGGAGAAGGTGGTGAAATGGAAACTGTCAAAAGTCACTAGGCCCTGCTTCTGGTATGAAGTTCAACTTATATTCAAAATGGATGCCGATGCAATATAAAATTATAAGAATTTACTACAAAAGTGTCACTCTAAAAATATCTCAGTTTGTTTAAAGTTTGGTTTGTTTGAACTTTAGAGGTTTTATTTTTGAAAGAATTATTTCTAAGTGTGAGGATACAGAGAAGCCACCTCCACTACATTTAGGAGGCCACCCACTAAATCTTAGGGTGGGCAGAGCCTGGCTGTGCACCTACATTATCAGGGCTCCATCCAGCCCTCTGGAGTAGCATCAGAAAATTGCAGAAGCAGCTTCCTGAAAGACAAAATCTGAAAAATTAAGATGACAAAATGATAGCTAATGTCATAGTCAGGACTTGGAAAACACAATTAAGAGAATTACTATGAGGAAAAATGTGGCAAGTATAAGCCACATCAGACTGAAAGGATACCACATCAAAGGCTGCCATGCCCACATTAACCACCCACATAGAGTGCCACAACTTCAAGAAAGCAGGGGATTTTTGCACCCTTGATGTCTATGAGCAAATAGCATGGGCAGCTCTCCTGCCTCAGCACCATAAGAATATTCTGGAGGAAACAGCCTGTGCACACAGAATATTTGCAATTTAAGGAAAAAAATGTCCAGGCTATGATACCCACCAGGAGAAGATGGAAAGAACAATGAGACTAAGAGTGAAGAGACCTGGCTTTGGCAGTAGAGTGGCCACTAGCTTCCTGGGTGACTGTGGACAATACACTTCTGCTCACCAGGTCTTGGTTTCCCTCGGTACATGAAAAGAGCCTTTAAAAAAGACCAGCTATTCCAAAACTGTGCCATCAGAGCTCTAGCCCAAGAGTTCAAGAGTTCTTGGAGGCTTCCATATTCCCCTTCCCCTTCATTCCACAGACACTTCATCCAGAGCAGCTGCACCTTCATGTGTGAAGACCTGAAGCTTGAGGTGAGATTTCATTTGAACAAAGGGTTTTCGCATAACAATAATGTTAACTGTTTTTTCTTCAAAAAGGTTGACTTGATTTCATCCCTTTTGGCCCCATACAGGTCAGCACACTGACCATCTCTCTTCACCAGCTGAGTTGAGTCAGGATTGTTCCAGCCTTCCAAAAGAAGCTCTAAAAAGGTGACCCAACCAAGGAGGTTTCTTGGGTCTTTGATTTCAATCTGTCTGCTTGAGCACTTCCTTTCAAGTAAACTGCCTGAGGTGGCAAACAAAAACATAAAGACTATTCAAGCAATATTCCAGAGGTCCTGCTTTTGCACTGTATATCTTTTGTTTGCCCCTTCATATCCTTTCTCCACCCTTCTCCATCCCATTTTCTGCTCTAGAAGGCTGAGTTAATGGTCTCCCTTACTCTTTGCTCCTAGTCAGGTTTGGTTTAGAGAGTCCCAGCAGAAGATAATATATAAAGAGGAAGGTGAGGTTGGGATAATCATTTTTGTTCTTCTCTGTGGGATAGAACTGAAAGTCATAACTCTTCTCCAGGTAGACCTGTCTCTATGAGTCTCTTTTTGTGATTCCGGTGGCAACTCCTTTCTCTTGTTCTTTTAGTCATAGAGGTGGGAACTAGCTTCAGAGTATTGCAAATCCCTTGTGATTTACCTACCCTTGGCCATATCTTGTAAATATACCTCTTTTTAAAACCCTCCTTAATTATGCTAATATTAACGTACCATCTATTCCAACTTGAAACCCTTGCTGATAGCCCAATGAACATCTTTTTCCCAATTGACAAAAGGTAAGGGGTCTCTTTCAAAATGGTCTGCTTGAGAGTCCAATACTTAAGGATAGTCAGCTATTGTAAGAACTCAGGAAGACTCGACAAATTTTAGACAAAATATCCATTTATTCTGTTAGTTTCACAGACCACTTGCTTTGTAGATGGTCTGCTTGCATTTCTGTAGGCATGTGTGCAGGAATAGCAACCTCGTAAGTCAACTACTTCTTCTTTGGTGCCAAGAACTGCCCTATCCTTGCCTCTGTTGAAACCTCTATTTTCTCCCTCTGCAGATTTGGAATACTGATGAAGAAAGTCAGTAAATTACTCTACTCAGTCCATCACCAATTCATGTTATCAAAAGGCTTGACTGCTTCTCAGTAACATTTTTCCAATATGCTCTTTAGAGGCATCTTTTCTTCGAAGGTCACTCTGAAAACACCCTGCATTATATCCCCATGAATCTTGTAACTCTCTCCTGTCACCCACATTGTTTTACTGCTGATTAGTTGACAACTTCCCAGCTGCCACACTTAGAAAAAGTCCCTAGTCCAAGTTAAACACTCAATATTATTTACTTTCCCCATTTTCCTACCTGAAGAAGCTAGCGCAGAGTAGGCACAAAATAAAAATTTCAAAGACCGGACTAATTAAAAATTAACTCTTGGCAGTTTAGGAGAAAGCTTAAGAGCAGAGTAACAGGAGTTACATAGCTGCACCTAAATTGCTAACCATATGAGCTTTTACTACATCTCTATACCTCAGTTAGAGGAACTGGTAGAACCCAGAGTTCCCCTGCTGGTTGACCCAGTAGCTGTTTGATGACATTTCTACCCATAGTACTAGTGCTAACTTAGGAAGTTGGGCTTTCTTGCCATTCATTGCACTGAGTGTTGTGACTCTGAGGATAAGGCCAACAACAGTAAAGTGGAGCTGATATGGATTTTATGGGTGTTATAGAAAGATGGCACTTTAGGAAAGAACAATTGATTTAAAGCTATTGTTTTTCTGGTAAAGGAAGAAAGGATGGCAGGGCAGGAAAAAATGATTAATAAGCAATATTTACAAGCACCTGTTAAATGTGGGTGATAATAGTTCCTGCCAGGTCTGGAAGACACTTCATCAAATTCTCTTTCTAGGACTAAAGCCCCTGTTTCTATGGCTTCCATTCTCTTTTGGAAAAATATGAAATCTAAAGTTTTCAACAGTGAGATATTTTCCTTAAGTCACCTCCAAGACCTAGGTACAACTTTCTTAAAAGATAAATTCCACATTATTGAAACAAAAAGAACATGTAATTATACAAAGTTTCAATGAGAAACATATGTGCCAAATCTGTATTATATCCTTATTTTACATAGTTTCTAAAGAACAAAGAGTGACCAGCCCATTGAATCTAGCTCAAATAAGAAAATATTAATAATTGAACAAACAACTGTCTATTATTTTTGCTTTAAGAGATATTATAAAGTGGGGTCAGAACATTTCCCCCTTTTAAATCACAATATCTAATTTCCATTAAAAGCTTCTGTGTTCAACCTCCCAAAATCTGAAAAGTTTTCATCTCTTCAGAAATAGAGACAAAAAATAAGACATTTTACAAACAGAGGGATGAAACTGATGTGATAACATTTAACACGGTGTGATAGAACAATTCTTAAATTTCTCCCTAGGATGTGATGTCCTGCAACTTCCATTTCATTGATAATTTTATAAGAACGAAAATGTAGTCATGGCACAAAGAAAGGGGTTATCCCTGATTTGAGCTAGCCTTAAAAAAAAAACTACTTCATAAGGATAGTTTGAAGCTTCAAAATATTAATTATACAATAATATAAAGCACTTCATACTTTATCTACCACACAAACATATAAAACATGTTGCTACAAAGAATAAGAAATTGAGTAAACAAATGGATGGATGGATGGATGGATGGATGGATGGATGGATAGATGGATGGACAGATGGATGAATAAAGGAACCTACTTGCTCCCCAAATTCCACACTTACACATTCTTTGTTAGTGGATTACTTGTTTCTTTCATGATGAAAAATGAAAGAACATCAACATTATCTGATATGACTATCTTTACATTTAGACTTCTTCCTTTTCCTATTTCTCATATCTTGTTCTCCTCCTTTCATCCTCAAAAGAAAATATATGCCTCTTTATTTTCAAGGATAACTCTTTCACCCCATTATTCCCTGAAAGAGCCTAAAAAAATTGTTTTATCAAATATTTGCCTACCCCTCGGTTGTATTTTCAGTCTTTCCCTCTTAATTAAATCTGGAATAATATCAACAAAATAATAATATTATTATAGCAGCCAAAGAGAGTAAAATAGTTACTATTCTTCAGACATTCTGCTGTCTTATATCCATTTTAATCAATGAATCTCACAACAACTGTAGGAAGTTGGTTTTTCTTACATATGTGATAAAGAAGGTTTGGAAAGATTAAACAATGTGCTTATCAATGGTTAGAAAGTGGCAAGGCTGATTTGGGCCCAGGTCCATCTTACTCAAGCCCAAATTCATAACTGCTGTACTGTGGTGCCCCTAGAAACGTTTTAAATGAAAAGGGATAAAAATAAACTAATAATAAATGCAGCACAAATCTATGCAAGAATATTCATAAAATGTAATGAATGATATGTAATGAAAAATGCAAAAATGCAGAGATATACAGTCCTCCTCTACCTTAGGAGAATTATTCATTTCTGAAAAATCTATTGTAGGCAAACTCTCATAAACCAATAGGTATAATTAACACTGAAATTAACTGCACAAAATTATTTCAGTAGTTACCAAAGCATACATAAGATACTCAATGTTTACCTTTTGTACTTTCCTGCCACCTTCAAGCATAAAAATAAAAACAGAAGAGATCAATAAAAAAAAAATGCACATGGCGAAAATAAGCCACCAACACTTTGGGAGAAAAAGTTAACGCAACAGGTGCCAATAATACATCTGTGAAGATCACCAGAGGGAAGTTCCCACTTAGGGAAGATAAGCACTTTCTATATGCACAAAATCCAAATTATTCTTCATAAATGTGAAGAAACATCTCACAAGCCAAAATTGGGTTATTAAAATACCTCATAAAGTTGAACTCTCATAACCTAAATAGACATGTATCTAAGCATGCCTGAACAAGATTGCTAAGTGACAAAATTCATTATTGTAAAAATAAAAAATTCCCAAAATTATATATAAAAACTCAAGTCTGCCATCAAAATCTTCCTTCCAGTACATGTATATTGGTGATAATATAGGGAAGTTATTTTAAAAGGTCAACTGGCAAAGCAAGTATGCAAGAAATGTTAGATTTTTGAAAAGAAAAGTGATGGGAACAGGGCATGACTTCTTCTACCAAAAATCGACCTATACTATTAGCCTATAGTCATTGAAATTGTGATGTTGGCATAGCAACAAAGATAACAATAAAACAAATAGAGAATATAGATAAGAATAAAATATGCAAAATAGGTGGCACGTCAACTCAGTAGGAAAAGCATTAATATACAATGTTGAGGCAGTTTGATATTTTTTGGGAGAAAAAGATGCTTTGGACATTTCCTTCAGCATGTAATTATTCTGTAATATCAACATTTGCAAGAGTATTTATTCTTTTTTATGTGTTTTAATAGCTGATAAAAAAGTATTTCATCATAAACAAAAAATAGAATAAACATTCATACACCCACCACCCAAATTCTAGTAAAGGGACAAAAGTGCTAGGGATTTTTAAAGCTTTTTAAAAAATTGGCTGGAAAAAAAGCCATATCTAAAGCCTATTAACCCTCCCTTACCCTATTCCATTTCTTCTCTTTCTAAAATTAATCACTATACTGAAGTTTGTATGTATCCCTCCAGTCCATGTTTCTATATTTTTGCTTTATATGTATATCCATAAACATGTAGTATTATTTATACACCCTTTATATGTGGGGTTTTTAACTTTAAGTAAATAGTACAGTAATATAATTCTCCAATAACTTGCTTTTTATACCGTACTACATTTTTAGAGTTTTACCCATGTCGATACAAGTAGCTGTGGTTTGTTTATTTCAGTGCTCCACTCTTGTAATATATGACCATTTATTTATCCTACTGACAAACATTTAAGTAGTTTCTAATTCTTTTGCTGTTACAAATAATATAGCAATAAACATTCTTATAATATCCAGTAGTTACATGTACCCATCTTTCTTGAGGCATTTAGTTAAACAAAGAATGGCTGCATTATAGGATGTATAGATATTAACTTCATTGGATTTCGACAAATTCCTCATCAAAACAATTTTAACAATTTACATTTCCACCAGCAGTGTCAGCAAATTATTTCTTCATACTATCACTCACATTAGGTTTTGTCATGATTTTCATATTTTTTGCCAACTCAATATGTGTGAAATTACATTTGTTAGTTGTTTTAATTTCTATTCCCTAGAGTAGTGTAGTGAGGTTAAGCATTTTTGATAGGTTTATGATTCATTGAGTCAGTCTTTTGGGGATTTGCTCTTTCTTATACTGCCCTTTCGTTACTGAATTGTCTTTTTCTTCATTTAAAATAGTTATTTACATATTGTGGATGATAAGCCTTAGCAAATAATTTAAAATTTCACTTCGTGATTTTCTTTGTTGTAAGAAATTTGACTCTTAGTACAGCCAAAAATGTTAATCTTTTTCTTCATAATTTATGATATTAGCATCTTGTTAAAAAGTAATTGACTTGATATAAAATTATCCTCCTGTATATTCTTACAAATGTGTATTGTTTTCTTTTACTCATTTAGGCTTCAATCTATCTGAAATATATCTATTTATTGGTAGCATGTAAGATAAAGATATAGGTCTTTTCTTCCCATAAGTAGCCAATTGTCTGAATATTATCTCTTGAATCATTCGGCAATGCCATATAGACTACCAAGTTTTCATATTTGCATATAGCTGTTTCTATACTCTATATTCTTTTCAGTGCCCTATTTATCTTATTACACTGCCTTAATCACTATGTTCTACTTTCAGTGTTGACAAATGGTAGGTCAAGTTCTCCACCTTGTTTTAAAAATTGTTTCTGTTTCCAAAATGGTGGCCAAGAAACAAGCTGGCTTCCCTCCTCTCCCCCAACCCCAGAAAACCAGAAACAAATACACAGCACCAAGATTACCACTAGCAATATCCTGGAACTCAAATATAAGGATGAGACAGTTCCTGGTGGGCACAGAAAAATGAAAAAAACTCTGAGAAGATACTAAAAAAATTCGACTTCCATATATGTGACACCCCTCCTCCCAATCTTCCCAGGACGAAACACACAGAAAATTTCCCTCAACTCATGGTTTCTACACTAGAAAAAATAAGGTCGAGGTGGACAACCAGCTTTCTGACCATCTAGGGTTCCCTAGCAGGAGACCTGTCCCTGCATCAACCCACTGGAAGCATCATGAGTACCTGAAAGGAGAAATATCTCTGAGAACAGCCAGAGACAATGGAGGGATGCTGGAATATCATTCCCCTGCCCTGGAAACTCTGCACTGTAGCTCAACCAAAGGAGTTGCCAAATCAAAGTACCTGCTCAGTACCACCGTGCTATAGGAGGTATGTCCCACGGGTCCGCTGGGCACAAACCCCTAGCCAGCCTTCCCACACTGCCCAGATATCCCCTTTGGGACCTCCCTCATTTGGGACAGGTAGCACTCTGATCTTTTAATAGAGTTGAGGCAAACCTGGGCATAAGGCACCATCTAGTGCCCAAAAGGAAGCAGCAGGAACTGGGTACAGTAGCTCATGCTGGTAATCCCAGCATTCTGGGGGGCCGAGGTGGGTGGATTACCTGAGGTCAGGAGTTCAAGACCAGCCTGGCCAAAATGGTGAAACCCCGTCTCTACTAAAAATACAAAAAATTAGCTAGCTGTGGTGGCGGGTGCCTGTAATCCCAGCCATTTGTGAGGCTGAGGCAGGAGAATTGCTTGAACCCGGGAGGTGGAGGTTGCAGTGATCTGAGATCACACCATTGCACTCCAGCCTGGGCAACAGAGGGAGACTTTGTCAAAAAAAAAAAAAAAAAGAAAAAAAGAAAAAAAAGAAAAGAAAAGAAGCAGCAGGGGGAAAAGAAAGAAATTCAGCAAATAAATCACAAAGAATCTCTAAGTGAAGATACTTAACGAAAACCAAAAGAAGCCAGAAGCAAAAGACTGGAATAAATAATCCTTCAAAATAAAGACATAGATGTACATCCACAAGAAACACCAACAAACTGAGAACTATGACCTTCCCAAACAGACAAAGCCAGGAACTAGTGACTGATCCTAATGACACAGCAATATATAAGCTCTCTGACCAGTAATTTAAAATAGTAGTTTTAAGGAAACTTGGTGATCTCCAAGATAACACAGAAAGCCAATTCAGGAACTTATCAGAGAAATTCAACAAAGAAATTGAAATAATTTTTAAAAATCAAACAGAAATCTTAGAACTGAGAAATACATTTGCTGACCTGAAAATACATTAGAGGCTCTCAACAGCATAATAAATCAAGCAGAAAACAGAATCAGTGAGCTATAAGACAGGCTATTTGAAAATGCAGAGTCAGGGGAGAAGAAAAAAAGGAAAAGAAATGAAAATCACCCACAATTTATAGAAAATTACTTCAAAACACCAAACCTAAGTATTCTTAGTATGCAAGAGATAATTGAGCAAGAACAAGGGTAGGAAGCTTATTCAAATAACAGAAAACTTTTATAAACTTGAAAAACATATGAATATGCAGGTACAGGGAGGTCAGAGAAAACCAAACAGATTTGATCCAAATAAGGCTACCCCAAGGTACATAATAATTAAACTCTTAAAAGTGAAGGACAAAGAGAGGATCCTAAAAGCAACAAGAGAAAAGAAGCAAATAGCATATAAAGAAGCTCTAATTTGTCTGGCATCAGACTTTTCAATGAAAACGATACAGGCCTGAAAATACACATTCTTTTCATCAGCACATGAGACATTGTCCAGCATAGACTATATGTTAGGCCACAAAACAAGTATCAACAAATTTTAAAAATTAGAAATTATATCAAGTATCTTTTCTAACCACAATATAATAAAACTAGAAATCAATAACAAGAGGAACCTTGGAAACTACACAAACACATGGAAATTAAACAACTTGCTCCTGAATGACCAATAGGTCATTGAAAAAATTAAGAAGGAAATTTAAAAATTTCTTGAAACAAATGAAAATGGAAATATAACACACCAAAATCAATAGGATACAAGCCAAAGAGGGAAGTTTATAGAAACAAATGCCTACATCAGAAAAGTAGGAAGACCTCAAATAAGCAACCCGATGATGCTTCTCAGGAAATAGAAAAACAAGAACAACCAAATTCAAAATTAGTAGAAGGAAAGAAATAATAAAGATTGGAGCAAAAATAATAAAATTGAGACTACAAAAAATACAGGGGCCACATGCAATGGCTCATGCCTGTAATCCCAGCACTTTGGGAGGCTGAGACAGGAGGATCACTTGAGTCCAGGAGATCAAGAACAGGCTGAGCAAGAAAGTGGGAGTCCATCTCTACAAAACATAATAAATTAATTAATTAATTAATTTAATTACATAAAAATACAAATGATGAAACAAAAAATGATTTTTTGAAAAAATAAAATCAACAAATCTTTAGCTAGACTAAGTTAAAAAAAATGGGAGAAGACCCAAATAAAGAAACTCAGAAACAAAAAAGGAGACATAACAACTAAGACAACTAAGAATTGTTAGATATACAAAAAAATAACTAGAGACTGTGTGCAAACAAATTGGAAAACCTAGAATAAATAAATTCTTGGACACTTAAAATCTACCAAGATTGAACCATGAATAAATAGAAAACCTGAACAAGTAACAAGATCAAAGCCATAATAAAAATTCTCCCACCAAAGAAAAGCCCAGGACCTGAGGAATTCACTGCTGAATTGATAGTGACAAATAGTAACATTAGTAACATTTAGAGGAACTAACACCAATTCTACTCAAACTTGTCAAAAAAAATTGAAGAGGAGGGAATATTTCCAGACTTATTCTACAAGTCCAGCATTATTCTGATTCCAAAACCGGACAAGGACACAACAGAAAAAGAATACTACAGGTCATAACACTGATGGACACAAATGCAAAAATCCTCAACAAAATACTAGCAAACCAAATTCAATAACACATAAAAAAGATAATTCACCATGATTAAATGGGATTGATTCCAGAGATGCAAGGATAGTTCAACACATGCAAATCAATAAACATGATACATTACATTAACAGAACCAAGAACAGAAACCATATGATGATCTCAATAGATGGTGAAAAACATCTGACAAAATTTACCATCCATTTATGATTTTAAAAACCCCTGAACAAACTATGTATACAGAGAAGATACCTCAAAATAATAAATACCATATATGCCAAATCCACAGCCAATAATGAACTGAATGGGGAAAAATCGAAATCCTTTCCCGTAAGATATGGAACAAGACAAGGATGCCCACTTTCACCACTTTTAATCAACATAATGCTGCAAGTCCTGGACAGAGCAATTAAGGAGGAGCAATAAATAACAGTTCCTCACATTAGAAAGGAAGAAGTCAGACTGGCGTTATTCACGGATGATGTGATTTTATATTTAGAAAAAACAAAAGATTCCACCAAAAAAACTGTTAGAACTGATAACCAAATTCAGTAAATTTGCAGGATACAAGATCAATATACATTAGTAGAATTTATATATGCCAACAGCAAACAATCCGAAAAAGAAGTCAAGAAAGCTATCTCATTTGCAATAGCTATAAAGAATATAAAATACCTAGGAATACATTTAAAGAAGTGAAATGTTTTTATTATTATTATACTTTAAGTTTTTGGGTACATGTGCACAATGTGCAGGTTAGTTACGTACGTATACATGTGCCATGTTGGTGTGCTGCACCCATTACTCGTCAATTAGCATTAGGTATATCTCCTAAAGCTATCCCTCCCCTCTCCGCCCACCCCACAACAGTCCCCAGAGTGTGATGTTCCCCTTCCTGTGTCCATGTATCCTCATTGTTCAATTCCCACCTATGAGTGAGAATATACGGTGTTTGGTTTGGTCCTGGACTCTTTTTGGTTGGTAAGCTACTGATTATTGCCACAATTTCAGAGCCTGTTATTGGTCTATTCAGAGATTCAACTTCTTCCTGGTTTAGTCTTGGGAGGGTGTATGTGTCAAGGAATTTATCCATTTCTTCTAGATTTTCTAGTTTATTTGCGTAACACTGATGAAAGAACCTGAAGAAGACACAAAAAATGAGAGGGTACTCCATGCCCATGAATTGTAAGAATATTTTTATACTGTCTATACTACCCAAAGCAATCTATAGTATAGATTCCACGCAATCTCTATCAAAATACCAATGACATACTTCACAGAAATAGAAAAAAAATTCTAAAATTTAAATGGAATCACAAAAGACCTTGGACAGTCAAAGTGATCCTAAGCAAAAGGAACAAAGCTGGAGGCATTACATTACCTGACTTCAAAACATACCACAAAATTATAGTAACCAAATCAGCATGGTACTGGCATATAAACAGACATATAGACCAATGGAACAGCAAAGAGAACTCAGATATAAATCCAGGCATTTGCAGTGCAAGTGTCATTTTTGGCAAAGTTGCCAAGAACATACAATAGGGTAAAGGGTAGTCTTTTCAATTAATGGTGCTGGAAAAATTGGATAATCATATGCAGAAGGATGAAACTAGACTTCATCTCTCATCATATACAACAATCAAATCAAAAAAGATTATGGACTTAAATGTAAGCCCTGAAACCATGAAACTACTAAAAGGAAACATTGGAAAAATATTCCAGGACATTGGCCTGGGCAAAGATTTCTTGAGTAAGACCTCAAAAGCACAAACAACCAAAGTAAAAATGGGCAAATTGGATAATATGAAACTAAAAAAACTTCTGCACAGCAAAGGAAACAATCAATAAAGTGAAGAGACAACCCACAGAATGGAAGAAAATATTTCCAAACAACTCAGGTGACAAGGGATTAATAACCAGAATATATAAGGAGCTCAAACAACTCAATAGCAAAAAAAAAATTTTAATCCCATTGAAAAATGAACAAATATCTGAATAAACATTTCTCCAAAGAAGACATACAAATGGCCAACAGGTATTTGAAAAAAAGCTCAATAGCATGAATCATCGGAAAAATGTAAATCAAAACTACAATGAGGTACCATTTTACTCCTGTTAAAATGGCTTTTATTGAAAAGAGAAAATGGTTGCTGTAAGGATGTAGAGAAAGGGTAATGCCGAGACCAGCTTGGTAGGGCAGACCCTAACCTAGCGGCACTAGAGGAATTAAAGACACACACACAGAAATATAGAGGTGTGAAGTGGGAAATCAGGGGTCTCACAGCCTTCAGAGCTGAGAGTCCCGAACAGAGATTTACCCACATATTTATTAACAGCAAACCAGTCATTAGCACTGTTTCTATAGATATTCGATTAACTAAAAGTATCCCTTATGGGAAACAAAGGGATGGACCAAATTAAAGGAAAAGGTTGGGCTAGTTAACTGCAGCAGGAGCATGTCCTTAAGGCACAGATTGCTCACGCTATTGTTTGTGGCTTAAGAATGCCTTTAAGCAGTTTTCCGCCCTTGGCGGGCCAAGTGTTCCTTGCCCTCATTCCCGTAAACCCACAACCTTCCAGCTTGGGCGTTAGGGCCATTATGAACATGTTACAGTGCTGCAGAGATTTTCTTTATGGCCAGTTTTGGGGCCAGTTTATGGCCAGATTTCCGGGGGGGCTTGCTCCCATCAGGGGAACCCTCATACACGGTGGGAATGGAAATTAGTACAGCTAAGGCCGGGTGTGGTGGCTCACGCCTGTAATCTTAGCACTTTGGGAGACCAAGGTGGGCAGATCACGAGGTCAGGAGATCAAGACCATCCTGGCTAACATGGTGAAGCCCCATCTCTACTAAAAACACAAAAAATTAGCCAGCATGGTGGTGGGTGCCTGTAATCCCAACTACTCGGGAGGCTGAGGCAGGAGAATCACTTGAACCCAGGAGGTAGGGTTGCAGTGAGCCGAGATCGTGCCACTGCACTCCAGCCTGGGTGAAAGAGTGAGACTCCGCATGGAGCCATATGCAGAAAGCTGAAACTTCCTTACACCTTATACAAGGAAAGCACCCCTTCCTTACACTTTATACAAAAATTAATTCAAGATGGCTTAAAGACTTAAACATAAGACCTAAACCCATAAAAACCCTAGAAGAAAACCTAGGCAATACCATTCAGGACATAGGCATGGGCAAGGGCTTCATGTCTAAAACACCAAAAGCAATGGCAACAAAAGCCAAAATTCACAAATGGAATCTAATTAAACTAAAGAGCTTCTGCACAGCAAAAGAAACTACCATCAGAGTGAACAGGCAACCTACAGAATGGGAGAAAATTTTTGCAACCTACTCATCTGACAAAGGGCTAATATCCAGAATCTACAATGAACTCAAACAAATTTACAAGAAAAAAACAAACAACCCCATCAAAAAGTGGGCAAAGGATATGAACAGACACTTCTCAAAAGAAGACATTTATGCAGCCAAAAAACACATGAAAAAATGCTCATCATCACTGGCCATCAGAGAAATGCAAATCAAAACCACAATGAGATACCATCTCACACCAGTTAGAATGGCGATCATTAAAAAGTCAGGAAACAACAAGTGCTGGAGAGGATGTGGAGAAACAGGAACACTTTTACACTTTTGGTGGGACTGTAAACTAGTTCAACCATTGTGGAAGTCGGTGTGGTGATTCCTCAGGGATCTAGAACTAGAAATACCATTTGACCCAGTCATCCCATTACTGGGTATATACCCAAAGGATTATAAATCATGCTGCTATAAAGACACATGCACACGTATGTTTATTGTGGCACTATTCACAATAGCAAAGACTTGGAACCAACCCAAATGTCCAACAATGATAGACTGGATTAAGAAAATGTGGCACATATACACCATGGAATACTATGCAGCCACAAAAAACGATGAGTTCATGTCCTTTGTAGGGACATGGATGAAGCTGGAAACCATCATTCTCAGCAAACTATCGCAAGGACAAAAAACCAAACACTGCATGTTCTCACTCATAGGTGGGAATTGAACAATGAGAACACATGGACACAGGAAGGGGAACATCACACACTGGGGCCTGTTGTGGGGTGGGGGGAGTGGGGAGGGATAATATTAGGAGATATACCTAATGCTAAATGACGAGTTAATGGGTGCAGCACACCAACATGGCACAGGTATACATATGTAACAAACCTGCACATTGTGCACATGTACCCTAAAACTTAAAGTATAATAAAAAAAAGTTCAACATTAAAAGCAAACCAAAAAAAAAAGAAAATAAGAACAACCTAACTCAAATAATTATAGCAAGAAATAAGTAAGTTAATAATTGCAAAGCTCTTAGACAGGAGTTGGCACACAGAAAAACACAATGTAGTTATTTTGAGATTGTGGCCAAAAAAAAAAAAATCTTAAGAAAAAGAAAATTAGTACAGCTACTATGGAAAACAGAATGGTAGTTCCTCAGAAAACTAAAAATAGAATTACCATATGATCCTGCAATTCTACTATTGGCTATATACCCAAAAGAAAGGCAATCAATGTACCAACGAGACACCTGCATTCTTGTTTTTACTGCAGTACTATTCACAACAGGTAAAATATGGAATCAACTTCAGTGCCCATCAATTTCCTGTCTACTACTTCTGCCTGCTTTGTTTTTATAGCTTTTTCTGTAATATTTAATTTATACATATGTAAGAAGTATTCATCATATAATTTTTTCTTTCTATTTAATATAATTATCTCTTAATTTGTCCTTTGCACGTTACTTTTATTAAAAACTTCAGGTATATTTGTCCGAACCCATTGTGCAGTCTTTCTTTCAATATTTATGACACTTAAACTAATTTCTGCTACCATTATAACTGATGTTTAGTACTAGGTATAAATTTAAATAAATTTGATATCCAATACCAACCCTTTTCTACAATGGTTTTCCATTTTCTGAGATAATTCTTATTTTGATACCTCTCTAGATCACCAGAAAAATCATAAAGCTTTTTGCCCCCCAGTCTTACGGTAACTACTCCCTGAATTCTTAGCATATACAAGAATGTCTTTCTGTTTCATTTCTACATAAATGACAACTTGGCTGAGTATAAAAAATATTGTACTAAAAAGTATTATACCATGTATAAAAGTATTGTATCTTTCTATTTTTTTTTTTAATTCTGCAGACATTGCTTTCATTTTTTCTTCTCATGACTATTGCCATTCTCATATATTGCCTTCTGGATTTTTTTTCCAAGATTCCCAAGGAATTATTTATTCTTGTAGCTCAGCAATTTCATTAGGACACATTCAGAAGCTGATCATCCTGGATCATTTTTTTCTGGAATAGAATATAACTTTTTAATTTATAGTTTTAAATTGTTGTGTGTTGGTCTAAGTCAAGTTTGTCATGACAATTTTTAGCCTATTTTGATATATAACAGTAGCCTCCCACATATTTGGAGTGAGCAATAATTAGCTATTCCCCTACAACCTCACTACCAGATTTTAACAAAGGTAAGGTTCAGGCCACACTTACAGTGTTTAAATAACAAGCCAGCATAAAACATTTCAGTCAGCATTTCAGTCTTTTGAAGTACATGAAGTCCCAGTGCTCTGTACTTTTAGGTGACCCAATCACACATAGACAATTTACTTAAAGAAGATAGTACAATATTTGAGAGATGGGATCCTTTTATCCATATGGTTATCATCAGGCAATGAGGAATCTTCTTTCAATACCTGAACACCGGAATGTTTACAGATAAAGCTTTGTGTGTTATCCTCAAAGGTAGAGAATACAGGACTTGCTAGAGTCTTATATGCTGTTCACCTAAGTGTAGAGTGTTTTAAAATATTTTAACCATCCCACATACCTTGAATATTTTTAATTTCACTAATGAGAGCCCATTTTTAACCTTCCACATGTTAACTAATTAACTACTAAGTGCTCCATGAAAACCTTTTTCTGACATTCAATATGCTAATTAGAAAAGTTCCAGGTGTTAATCAAGTTGTGATTAGCTGAAGCACTGGCAATAGATGCCTCTGGAGTGAGATCCTTCTGACATAACGTCTGGACTATATACATCATTCATTGGGGCACTGACAGGCAACAGGTACATAAATAACTCCATATTGTCTATGCTGATAAATTTTAAATTAAATTAAAAACCTCAATACAATAATACAAGTCTTCCTTCATTTCAGAAAAGATTTATTCAAATACATCTTTGAGTGTTTGTTTTTCCATTTGGTCTGTTATTTGATTCAGGAACAGTTTTTCGTATGTGAGATTGTTATTGCAGCATTCCGCAACTTTTTTTTTTGTTTCTTTTCATTTTCAATACTTGATATAGTTAGGATGTGTATCCCCACCCAAATCTCATATTGAAATGTAGTCCCAAATGTTGGAGGTGGGACTGGTGGACGGTGACTCAATCACGGGGGCAGATTTTTCATCAATGGTTTAGCACTATCTTTTCTTGGTCTTCACGAAAATGAATGAGTTCTTGTGATATCTGATCATTTTAAAGTGTGTAGCACCTCTCCCCTCACTCTCTTGCTCTTGCTATGTGACATACGTGCCTGCTCCCTCTTTGCCATGACTGTAAGTTTCCTGAGGCCTCCACAGAAGCCTAGCAGATGCCAGCATCATATTTCCTGTACAGCCTGCAGAACCATGAGACAATTAAACTTATTTTTACAAATAAAAATCCCATCTCTGATATTTCTTTGTAGCGATGTGAAAATGGACTAATATAATACTACACAATTTTTCAAAGCTGGCCTCCCTGATAATGACTGTTTTCTGCTACATCAGTTCTCTTCTTTTGCATACTGTTTTCTGTTTGTTTTTTGTTGTTGTTGTTGTTGTTGTTTGTTTTGTTTTTGTTTTTTATTTATTTTTTTTTTTGGCAATGGAGTTTTGCTCTGTTGCCCAGACTGGAGTGCAGTGGTACAATCTCGGCTCACTGCAACCTCCGCCTCCTGTGTTAAAGCAATTCTCCCACCTCAGCCTCCCGAGTAGCTGGGATTACAGGCACTTGCCATCATGCCTGGCTAACTTTTGCATTTTTTGTAGAGAAGGTTTCACCATGTTGGCCAGGCTGGCCTTGAACCCCTGACCTCAGCTGATCCACCTGCCTTAGCCTCCCAAAGTGTTGGGATTACAGGTGTGAGCCACTGCACCCTGCCCACATTCTTAATTAATTGTTTAGTTTGTAAGTGATGTAGCTATTATCCTCAATTTGTTTCTCTGGCACCATCATCTCCCCTTTCCTCTCTTTCCGTTACCTGTTACATTACATTTGATCTTTTGCTTTTTAGATTTACATTATCTTTTGTGCCTTTGCAGGAGGCATTCTCCATGGAAATTCTTCTTTTCCCTGGGGTATAACTTCTCCCAACATGGATTATTATTCTGCCTTTGCACACTGTATTGCATCCTTTAATATTTCATCTTTGCATACCTAAAGTACCCAAAGCATACAATATTAAGTGCTCAACAAGTATTTGTTGAATCAGTGGGTTAATAGGTTCATAGTGATTAACCAATTCAGCATGCTTCAACATTCAAATTTAAGTCATATTCTACATGCAGAAAATATCAAAGAAAGAAAAATCATAATAGTCATATTAATTTTTAAGCACTATAAATTCTATTTTAATAATGGAGGCCAGTAAACATATTCAACAGCAGCAAAGGGCAAAGGAAATAACAGTGAATATTCATTGAATTCTCAAAATCAAATGCACAGAAAGACAAAGGCTACATAATCTTTCTTATATGGGGAATTTAAAAAGTTGAACTTCTAGCAGCTGAGAGTAGGACAGTGGGCACCTGGGACTTGGGGGAAGTGGCAAGAATTGGGGAGGTATTGGTCAAATTTCAGTTATGAGGAATAAGTTGAGATCTACAGTATACAATAGTGACTACAGTTAATAACGTATTGTACACCTATTGTGCTACGATGTGGATCAACCTTGAAAACTTATGCTAAGTGAAATAGCAAGAAGCAAAAAAACAAATACTATATGATTTCACTTATCTGAAATGCCTAGACGGTCAAATTCATAGAACAAAATAGAAGAGATTACTAGGGGTTGCAGGGGAGATCGAAATGGGGAGTTATTGTTTAATGGGTAGAGTTTCAGTATGGTATGGTGAAAAATGTCTGGATAGTGATGATGGTTAAACAATGATGGGAATGTACTGAATGCTGCTGAAATATACACTTAACAGCGGTTTTAAAAAAACAATGTGTTATATACTTGAAAATTGCCAAGAGAGTAGATTTTAAATGTTCTCATACACACAAAAAAGTATATGAGGTAGTGGCTATGTTAATTAGATTGATTTAGCCATTCCACAATGTACACATGTATCAAAAATCATGCTATACTCCATAAACATATACAATTTTTATTTGTCGATTAAATATTTAAATAAAGTAAAAAGCATTTCCAAAGGGCTCCCTCATAATTTATTGTAAGGTGAGAAATCACATAAAGTTAAAACTGTGGAACTTGAGAAGTTGTAGGATCTATAGATCCCACAATATTTTAAAGATTTTGAATAGTTACTGTAGCCAGCACTCCACCCACAATAATCAATGGCAGAGATAACACAAAAGTTTTAATATACAGAAAATTTGTCATGATGTTAAATCCACCCTTGTAAGTGCTTTTCATGTTTTTTTAAACCAGCATTCATAATTGGTTTAAATTTCAACATTTTTATCTTCCCTTGTAACTAAGTAATGCCAAGCAATAAAATGGCAAAAGTATAGCAACCAAAATCATGAAGCTTATAAAATCTTGATAATTTCATTAATAAGTGCTGTGAAATTGATTTAATTTTTCCCAGAGCAGCTCCAAATATAGAGTGGGTTTCCAAAACCCTACAAGAAAAAATTGTGCTATGTAATCCTATACTCCCTACAAACTATACAGTGAAAACATAATCAACTAGCTGGACAGTTAAGACTCTGTGACTCCAAGAGTAGATATTATATTGGCAAATAGAGACAAAGGATAAGAGGTTAGCAAATGAATGGTGGCATTCAAGAAAGGCACCTAATCGTGGATTTGTATGAATTCTGTAATTCATGGGAATGCAAGGTTCAGAAGCACTATATTACTTTCTTAAAAAGAAAGCCTTTCTGGCCCAACTTTGACAAATACTCATCTAAAATGTGTTCCTTAACCGTTAACGAAGACAAACCTACCATACATGAAGGTCTGGTCACAATAAACAATAATAATAATTTTATATGGTATAAATCATGGTGACAACTGTAGAAAATGCTCCATTTTTGAAGCTTACAATGAATTAAAGTCATCTATGAAGCAGCCTCGTTGTCAGGGGTGACAGCCGAGGTTCTGGGTCTCACAGTCATGGAGGTCAAGGACGTGGACACACACAAAGGGTGAAGTTTAGAGCAGAAATGTAATAGGCGAAAGAAAGAGAATAGCTCTGTGCCACAGAGAGAGGTCCCGGAAAAATGGGTTGCCAATCTGCGGTGACATGTAAGGGTTTTTATAGACAGCTAGTGGGAAGGCGGAACCTGATCTACATAGGGCACGAAAAACCGGTTAGAACCAGATGTGACATCTGCAGAGGATCTGAATCTCTGACAGCGCCCCCCCCAGTCTTTTATTATGCAGGTGGGTCCTCTGCCTGAACTACTCCATGTTGCTTATCTCTTTCCTACTGTGCATGTGCTAACAAAAAAGGGAAGGTGGAGCCTCCATGGTGAACATGCCTAGCCCCGGGTAGCCCCCGGGTAGCCCTTTATATCTGTGCAGCTGCCGGCATACCCCTGCGTGCAAGCTTCCAGCTTCTTCATCTATGTTTGAAGCCTGATCTTCCAGGCTGTTCTTTGTTAGAAAAAAAGTGATTTCTTGGGCTGCTTTTTATTAGAAGGGAAGTTCTGCCAAGGACTCTTTTGCCCTCACTATCTGCCTAAATAATTTAATTCTATCTCCTGTATCATCTCTTTGCCAAATGGAAATATTTTAAACTGACAGAGATGGAAGGGCTAATATAAATGCACTTTTCCATCTTTGTGCTTGAACCCAACTCCCTGATACATTTTTCAGCATTGTTAGAAAAGGTTCTCATATGAACTTTGTATATTGGTAGAATTAACTAAAATGGCTCCTCAACCGTGACAAAATCTTGTAAATCAGGTAGAACGAGGCTGTGAAAGTTGATGATAGAAATCGGGTCACTCTTGTCATACCCAACTGAAACACAGTCGAGAAGCCGGGGGAAGAGCACTCAAGGCAGGTAACATTGCTCCAAGAATGTAATCCTCTGCAAGCCTCCTTGCAAAAAAAAAAAAAACTGTTTGCTGTAACCTGAAACCAGTTGTGTCCATCTAATGGCTTCTGAAACTACCTGCAGTTACCTGTAAGACTAGTTTTACCCACTGCTATCACTCATCAATCAGAGCTTGCCACCTCCTCAACACTTCACTAAGGCCAATGAACTTTCTGGAAAAACAGTAGGTAATATTTCTCTTTTTTATAAAACTTCCAAACTCCTCTTTGTTTTTCAGACATACTAAAGACCACCCAGCCTGAGTGTATGCCCCAAATGGCAATTTTTTTCTTCCCAAATAAAATGTTACATTTATAAATTCATCTCTACATTTTATTTTGACTTCCACAAGGATAAAAGCAGTGATCTCCAATATTCATCCTCTAGAGACTATGACTTAAGGAATCAGCTGTCTAAATGCAATTCTAATGTGCAATCTGGCATATTTACAATAAGTAATTTAAAAAATATTATACCATTATACTCTTGATGAGACACATGTCACTAGTCTACAGTTACAAAATTTGAAACCCTATAAGTGGGAAAATTTTAATGGAGGGTGTAGAATTATTTTTGCTGTGTGTTTTCTTTGATATTTTCCCAGTTCACCTCCACAAATATTTCAATAATTAAAGATGGAGATTTTACTACAAGTTTGCTCAAGATAGCAAAGTTTCAAAAATGCTTTAGATAAAACCATCTAATTAATATCTTCACTTACTTAAACAATTACTTACTAAACCCTTAAAAAGAAGTCAGTGATAAAAAGCCAAGTTTGCATGATCTATGAAAAATTGTCTAGGCCCTTGGAAAGGGTAGACTAAAACACTTTCATCAGTATTAATTGTGCATATTTCATGAATATCTTTTTTTGTTGTTGTCATCCAGGCTGGAATGCAGTGGCAATCACTGCTCACTGCAGGCTTGCACTCCTGGGCTCAAGTGATGCTCCCATCTCAGCCTTCCACAGTCCTGGGATTATAGGCATGAGTCACTGTGCCCAGCCAGGAATACCTGAAGAACATAATTATCTCTCTAGGCCTGATATTTTTAAACTTTATTGCATATAGGATTCACCCAGAAAATCTGTTAAATGCCAATTCTCTGGCCTAGAAACTGTATCTATTGGTCCGCCACTCATTATATTTTAGTGATGAAGTGGTCCTGAGAATCAACAAACTCCTTTAGGAGTTTCTGCTGCAGATGGCTTAATGATAAATCTATGAGAAATTGTTCTAGGATCTTCCAAGTATCTTCATAAAGGCCTCAGAATATCCCTGGGGATGGAGGGATGTCCAAGACAAATGTCTGTATTTTCTCAAGGTATTCATACAGGTAAACCTAGGTTAAAACAAACATCAGTGTTAGACTTATAAGTCATAAAAGGACAATATGCAATCAGACATTCAGGAAACATAGAAAAGCAGCTCTACCATTTTACCTCAAGATAGGACTGAAACACATTAGTATATATAAGTCCCTCCAGATTTTTCTTGTAAAATTGCAGGAAAAAAAATAAATCCTTGTCACCTACTGCTCCCATCTCGAGGCTCAGCCCAAATAATGGCTCTGGAGCACCACCATCACATGGGGAACTGAACGCTAGGGTGTGCTCCCCAGATCCTCAAAGGCACAGGGCTGAAGGATGGGAACCTCTGAGGAAGCACTGTAGCTCACAACTCCCAACTATCAACTCTCTCCAGAAATTGCTTCAGCTGGAAAGAGCTCCTCACCTGGGGCTCCTTTCTGGGGCAGCCTGCATACAATGACTGATCAGAAGAGGAACAAATGTTTAAGCCACACTGAAGAGAGGAGGTGACATTATACTACACAAACATTTAGTTCTGATTTGCATCAAATTTAAGAAGCTTGATTTCTGGGGAATGAAGTAGTAGGGACACCCATTCTACTTCCTTCCCCATGCACATATCATGCTGTGCAACATCTGCCCTGAGGCGTTATGGGTAAATATGAGATGATTGTCAATATTACGATCTTGCTTAGAAAGACACATTGCTTAGCACATCAGGAAACCAAACAACCTTAGAGGTGAGTGTTCTGCTCTAGTAACTAACATGAAAGCCCTTATACTAGCTATTGATATTATTATCTTATTACTTTGCATTTATATAGCTACAGGGAGAAAAGGGGCTTTAAAAAGTCTGAGGAAATGGAAATAATCCCACTTTACTGCCAAAGACACCCGGATACCCATTACAAATTCGGTTGTCAGATAAATGAGGTTGCATTGGAGGTGCCCTATTTCAGAATAAGCAGGATGGGAGGAACTTTTCAAATCCCTATTCTGGAAATCTGTCTTATCGCCTTTCAATGACATTGGATTTGTGCATTTATCTGGAAATCAGAGATGATTTCTGTCAACTCCTTGTTGTAGTCACATTTCAATTAAAAACCTGAAGGAGCCCTCTTATCAGGCCCCAGCATTCGTCTGAGTCATCACTGAATATACTTTCCTCAGAAACAGGATTTGTATTTTCTGTTTCATTGACTACAGAAGTTATTCCAGATTAAATGTGGCTTTGCTCACCAACCTACTTCTCAAAATTAATAAGGTCTTCAGTTCCCAGGATACACTGCCTTCCTCCACCAAAGTAAACTCAACAGTTCGTGATTCTATTTAACA
Source organism: Homo sapiens (assembly GCF_000001405.40). NCBI lineage: Eukaryota > Metazoa > Chordata > Mammalia > Primates > Hominidae > Homo > Homo sapiens. The sequence continues at coordinate 113,844,520 of NC_000005.10, read as the reverse complement.
CAAATTCTAGACAACTTGAGATTCACTTAATAGTGATTTGTTGAAATAAATTAGTTTTTTTTAATTAGAGTATTTAAATGTGGGCCCTTAGAAAAGACTATCAATCCAGTTAATAGAACTAATCATTAATGACAGTACATCTATTTGTTCAACCACTTGGGAAAAATACCTAATCTCTGTAATGTCAATTACCAAACAATAATCAAAACATTTTCTATATTTTCAAAGAAACCTGTTAGTGGCATATTTCTAGGGGTTTTTATACCTCACAATTTCTAAAATCTTCATTAAGCTTGTAAATACTGAACACTAAAGAAGATATCACAACTACCTATGTTTGTATGTACACATATATACATATTCACATGTGAGTAAAGCCCTTTTTGTTTTAAAGATAACCCACCTGGATGGAGTGTATCTAAATCAAGAGTATGGATGCCAAAAATCATATTTCTTTGCAAGATTGTGATTAATCTTAGAATTCATAAAATTTATAAATTATCAAGACATGGAAAAATCTTGGAAATTATATTGTTCAACTTTAATTTAACATACAAGAACACAGAGAACCATCAAGATCTCATCTGAAATATACTCAAATGAATATACTTGAATGAGAGTAGCCACATTAAAGCCTGGGTTCAAATTCTTCATCTACCACTTGGCTTGAGGAAGTTATTTAAAGTCTCTCAGCCTCAGTGTCCTCATTTATAAAATGGGAATAAGTTCACTTGAAAACCGTTTTAAGATGAATTAAACATTGAACATCAAACCTGGCATAGGTGCTCAATTAAGTATGGTTGTAGTTATTATTACCTGTGCCTAGTAACTTAGGAAGTACTATGAAATAGCCACAAAATTAAATATAACACCAGGCTAAGAATAATTTACATATTTTTAAAGGATCCAGAGCTGAGAAAATGTGAAATGGGGTAGTTAGCCTGGACTAGAACAATAATTTAGAGGATAGGGAAGAGAGGTGTCTCTTTCAGCTGATATAAAAAGCTCAAGAGATAAGGTCATAAATTTTCTGAAAACAAGAAACAGAATAATTTCCACGACTCTGTCTGCATACATTCTGCAGCCTGCTGCATTACCCATATAAGCTCATTTTCCCTCCAGTGCAAGGTATCCAGTAAAAATGTTTATAATATTTATCATTAACCACGGTTTTACCAAAATCAAAATGTTAAAGAGGTTGCATAACATATAATATGATATACTTAGACCCTGAACCTAATCGTTTTTTGGACTACTGATCCTAATATCCATCATGTAGTTTATCATTGATCTTAATGGAAATTTTACAGAGCCATTAAAATCATGGAAGAACTAAATGTATTTTAAATTTATTTGCAAAAGTGCTAATAAATGAATCAATACTTTGGAAAAGGTAAGGAAAGAAGAATATAACAATCTAGAATAACTGATTTTTTAACAAGTACTTTTCTCTTTTATCTCTAAATGATGTTTTTAAAATGGAGAATGTTTTTAAATTGTCAATTAAACCTTTAGAATATATTATGCACCCAATATTCTGCACTAAGCCACAAACTATAATGCTCTGTTCCTACAAGTAACTGGGCATTTCCTCTGTCCTGCAACTAAATATTCTAAGCAAGAGGCAATATTATGTGCTCCAAAATTCTGTTTGTTGCCATCACCAGAGTATTTCAGTCTTTCTCATTTCTCCTTCATGCCAAGCCTGGACAGATAGTGCTCCTGCTCTGCCAAACAAAGGTCCTGGGCTAGTTCATCAACCAGCCAATGAGCCAAAAAGTATTTCTTAAAACCCTTACCTCAGGCTGGGAGCAGTGGCTCACGCCTGTAATCCCAGCACTTTAGGAGGCCGAGGCAGGAGGATCATTTGAGGTCAGGAGTTCAAGACCAGCCTGGCCAACATGGTAAAACCCCGTCTCTACTAAAAAAAAATACAAAATATTAGCCGGTTGTGGTGGGAGGCTGAAGCAGGAGAATCGCTTGAACCTGGGAGGCTGAGGTTACAGTGAGCCAAGATTGTGCCACTGCACTCCAGCCTGGGAGACAGAGCAAGACTCTGTCTCAAAAAACAAAAAAACAACCCTTACCTCCTTGTGTTCAGCATTGCAATGACTACTATTGGAGATTACAAAAGATGTAGAGAACATTGTCTACATCCTTGAGAAGACCATATTATGATCAAGACACAAAATGGCAATAATAATGATAATGATAGCTGTCATTTATTGGTGCATATTGTACCAGATGTTTTACCTACACTTCTTCCCTACACACACTTAATTAAATGGTAAGTATTAAAAAATTATATATAAGCACTTAAAAATGGCTCTGCATATTGGTACTGTAGATGTTTAGACAGAAAAATCAACATCAGTTTCTAAAAATAGTGACTGCATAAGAGTGCTGAGATGACAAGGGATTCAATTCTTCATTTGTCAAATAATGTGTCATGTTTTAACATTGTTTTTAAAATTAAAAAAATGCATAAATTTGATTCATTGTATGAGTAAGTACATTTCTTAGTGTGCCTCCTCATTTGAAAACTGAATGATGTCTCTTAGATACCAGGTATGTTGTATGAACAAATTTAAATGATACACTGTATGCAAAGAGACTACCTGAGAACAGCGAATTCTCAATCAAGATAAATTCTCTTTTCCTTTCCTGCAAAGAAAGACTACCGTTCATTACTTTGCCTAGAAGAATGCCAGTACTAAATTTAGATAAGCCAATCTCATTGATTCCTAATGCGAAGCATTAGCATAAATAAAAGAAAAAACTCAAGAATTGACCTGTTTATTATAATAATTCAAAGCCATGAAGCATATCAGAGAGAAATACTATGTAACACAAAGGTCTTTTTTTAGATCATAAATGATAGCTCAGTTTTTAAAATTTCCCTTCATATCAGAAAGTGATTTCTCCTACCAGAACAAAGCTGCTAGATCATCAACACCAATATAAAATATATATGCAATGTAAAACCAATGGAAACCTCTCAATAGATGCAGAAAAAGTATTTGGCAAAATTTTATACCCATTGTGGTAAAAAAATCTCTCAGCAAACTAGGAATAGAAAGGAACTGCCTCTATTTCATAAAGACTGACTTTTAAAAACTACAGTTAATAACATAATTAATGGTGAAAGACTGAACATGCTTTCCCTAAGAGCAGGAAGAAGATGATGTCTGCTTTTACTATTTCTATTTAACATTGTATTAGAGGTTCCAGTCAATGTAATAAGGCAAGAAAAAATAAAGACATATAGAAAATACCAACAAGTCTATAAAAACTTTCCGTCCATCTATTATGGGAGTTTAGCAAAGTCACAAGATGCTAAACCAATACAAAAAATCAATAGTATTTCTATACATGAGCAAAAATTGATTTAAAATGGAAAATTTTTAAATACTGGTTATAATACAAGCAAGATCATTTTTAAAAACTAAACAAGAAATAGTTGAGATTCAATTTAACAAAATATATGAAAACTTTATACCAAAAAGCAAAGATTTTTGTAAGAAATTTTAAAGACCTAAATAAATGGAGAGAGATATTATGTTCATGAATTGAAAGATTCAGCGTAGTGGTCAATTCTCCACAAATGGATCTGTGGATTCAAAGTTTCAATCCAGGTCCCAGGAAGCTGTTTTTGTGAATATTTAAAAGTTGATTCCAAAATGTATGTAAAATGTAAAGGACTTAGAATAGCCAAAACAATTTTGGAAAAATAAAACACACAAACACACACAGTTGAAGGACTTACACTATCTGAATTGTGAAAAAGCTACATTAATCAAGATAGTTTGGCATTGGGAAACATTTGGCACATAGATCAATTGAACAGAGTTCAGAAATAGACCTACATGAATAATTCGTTTTGACTGAGATTAGAGGGTAATTCAGTGGAGAAGGCATGCTGGGACAAGTGTATATGCCAAAAATAAAAATAAAGAGCTTTAATCCTTACCACAACCTCATTGATTTCTTTCCAAAACAAGCCAGTGTTGACTTTAAGAACCAATTCTAATTACCTAAACTTAATTCTCACACAGTTTAATAGAAAGACCTTTTTTACCTTTAAAAAAAATTTAAACTAGACGTTACCTTACTTGACATTTAATGTATTTTTCATGTTTTCCCCTGTTGCTTTAAGATAATGCATATAAAATAAAGTTCAGACAATATTCTTGAATAACCATGCATTTTCACAGATTGTTAGAATACTGAAGGATGTCTTTTTAGGCTTAGTATTTTGTCTACGTAAGGAGAGAGTGATACACAGATGTTGTCTCTTAAACTAACTCACAGAGGTGCCAACGTGGTCATCAAGAAAGAGGAGCTAAATTTTCTCCACCCTTCATTGGTTTTAAGTGGTGATTCTGAGTGGTGGTTTTGCCTTCAGTCAGAAACCAGCTGTGGTTGTTTTTAAAATACATTTCTGAGCTTCACCCAGACTTAATCAGAATCTCGGGAGCTGGCTTCAGGAATTTGCATTTAAAATCAGTTTTTCCAAAAGACTCTTAATATAGTTTGAAAACCACTAGAAGAGTGGGTATAATAAACTGTAATAACATGGAAAAAGTCTGACTTTGCATAATTTTGTAACAAACCTAAAATCTTATTGTTGTAAAAGAGAGACTGGAGAGTGGATACTCTATTGGTATGACTAAAGTAATGAATTCATTCATAGGGAGACTGGCAACATTCAGACAGGGAAAATTCTTATATATCCGGTTCCCAAGTTTGAACTCTATCTTGAAAGTCAGTGGTTCTCAGGCATACCTGTGCATTAGAATCACCTCGAGGGCTTATTAAACACAAATTGCTGGGTCCCACTCCCAGACATTCTGATTTAATAAACCTGGGGTTGAGCTAAATAATTTTCATCTCTAGTTATTTATTTTTTAATTGATTAAATAATAAATTTCATATATTTATGGTGTATAATGTGATGTTTTGATGTATGTATACATTATGCAATGATTAAATCAAACTAATTAACATTCTACACCTCACATACTTACCATTTTTGTAAAGAGAACTTTTAAAATCAAGTCCCTTAGCAATATTCTATTATACTATATATTATTATTAATTATAGTCACCATGTTGTACACTAGATCTCCAGAGCTTAGTCTTTCTAACTGAAACTTTGTGCCCTTGATCAACATCTTCCCATTCCCCACCCCAGCCGCTGGTAACTGCTATTCTACTCTGGGTTTCTATCAGTTTAATTATTTTACATTCTACATACAAGTGAGATCATGCAGTATTTGTTTTTCTGTGTTTGGATTATTTTAGTAAGTCCTCCAGGTTCATCTGTGTTGCCACAAATGACAGGATTTCCTTATTTTATAAGGCTGAATAACATTCCATTATGTACAGATACTACTTTTTCTTTATTTGTTCATTCGTTAATGGACACTTAGTTTGGTTTCGTATCTTGGCTATTGTGAATACTACTCAAAGTGATCTATAGCTTCAATGTAACTGCTATCAAAATTCCAATGACATTTTTTACAGAAATAGAAAAAACAATCCTAAAATTCTTATGGAACCACAAAACATCCCAAATAGCCAAAACAATTTTGAGCAAAAAGAACAAATCTGGATGTATCACACAACCTGACTACAAACTATACTACAAAGCTATAGTAACAAAAACAGCATGATACTGGCACAAAAACAGACACATAGATCAATGGAACAAAATAGAGGGCCCAGAAATGAATCTACACATTTATAGTCAGCTGTTCTTCAACAAGTGTGCCAAGATCACACAATAGGAAAAGGACAGTCTCTTTAATAAATAGCACTGGGAAAACTAAGTATCTGCATGCATAAAAATGAAATTGGGCCTTTATCTCACCTCATATACCATAATCAACTCAAAATGGATGGATTAAAGACTTAAATCTAAACTTCAAACTATAAAACTACTAGAAGAAAATATAGTGGAAAAACTTCTTGATATGGGGCTGGGCAAATATTTCTTGGATATGACCCCAAAAGCACAGGCAACAGAATCAAAAATAGATAAATTAGATTTTATCAAACTACAAAGCTTCTGCACAGCTAGGGAAATAATCAACAGAATGAAGAGACAACCTATGGAATGGGAGAAAATATTTGCAAATCATACATCCCACAGACAGTTAATGTCCAAAATATATAAGAAGCTCAAATAACTCAATAGCAAGAAAACAAATAATTCAATTTAAAAATAGGTAAAGGACTTGAATAGACATTTCTCAAAAGAAGACAAACAAATGGCCAGCAGGTATATGAAAAGATGATCATCATCACTAGTCATCAGGGAAATGCAAATTAAAATCATAATGAGATATTACCTCCCACCTGTAAGTATGGCTTTTATCAGAAAAACAAAAGATAACAAATGTTGGTAAGGATGTAGAGAAAAAAACTCTGGTACACTGTTGGTGGGCATGCAAATTAGTACAGCTACCACGGAAAACAGTACAGAAGTTATTCAAAAATTTGAAAATAGAACTACTATGTGATTCAGCAATCCCACTTCTGGGTATATATCTAAAGAAGTTGAAATAGGTATGTCAAAGAGATAGCTGCACTCCCATGTTCACTGTAGCATTGTTTATGATAACTTGCATTTCTTTTTTTTTTTTTTTTTTTTTGAGACGGAGTCTCGCTCTGTTGCCAGGGCTGGAGTGCAGTGGCGCGATTTCGGCTCCCTGCAAGCTCCGCCTCCCGGGTTCGCGCCATTCTCCTGCCTCAGCCTCCCGAGTAGCTGGGACTACAGGCGCCTGCCACCATGCACGGCTAATTTTTTGTATTTTTAGATGAGACGGGGTTTCACCATGTTAGCCAGGGTGGTCTCAAACTCCTGACCTCGTGATCCACCCGGCTCAGCCTCCCAAAGTGCTGGGATTACAGGCGTGAGCCACCTCGCCTGGCTGATAACTTGCATTTCTAACAAGTTCCCAGGTGAAGCTAGAACTGTTGGTCTGAGCACACACTTTAAAGGGACACTGAGAAGCTTAAGGATGTCAAGTGTGTGATATGATCAAATTTACATTTAAAAGAATGCATCATAATCACTTAGTCCTGGAGACCCCAGAGCTCTGAAACAGAAGCTCCGAGAGGAAAGCTCTAAAGGCTCAATAACAAAAACACTGGGAAATTAGGTGGTTTTCCATTCCCTTAATTCAACGAAGTGGAAGGAGGACCTAACCAGGTTATCAGCTGATATGTTATTAAAAATGATTATTGATAATATATAACTATGTAATTTGGATTCATAATTTAGGAGTTCAAAAATTCAGTGTCATTGCTATAACAAAACTCTTTTCATTCCTACATAGTTATTTATGAAAACATGGATTTTGAGGCTTATATAGAGAAAATAAAAATATAAATAAAAGTGATAGCCCTATTTTATTCTAGTAATGAGCAGTATTTGTCTATGGATTCATAAACTAACTGAACAAAAAGGTCCCATTCATTTTATTAGGAGATAAATTTTCTTAAAAATATTTTACCTTTTATGTTTAAAGTCACTCATCAAAATTGTTAAACATATATTCTATTTTGATTAATTATGTAGAGACAAATATCACAGTAACTCAGTCCAGAAGAGTGTATTTTTAATCATTTAAAAACAATATCATGGCAAGAGCAAACTATAATAACAATTTAATATTATATAAATATTTTTATTGCAGAGACGTGTAGTTGAGTGACCAATAAAAGCATAAAATACATTACATTGGGATAAAGTTTTCTGAAGGAAATGAAATAAAAACACAAGTCTGAGAAAAAAAATGGAGTGATATAAAATTTCTTTACAAGAAAAATTCTTATATATCTTGTAAGAAGAGTATCAAATCTCCAAGGCATTTAGATTTCACTAAAAAGATTTAAGAGAGCAATGTAACATTTACAGTGCACCAGAAATTCTAATTCTTTTCAACTATATAAATAGATCAAAGAAAAGAGTTACCAACTTAAAAATGTTGGTGGGAAAGGAGTTACATAAATGTTTATAATTCTTTTACTGAATATGTGAGAAAAAAAATTTTGAAATTATTGCCCTAGTGAGTATTTTTCCCCTTACTCTATTTTGAGAGAGGTGAATTCCCTTGCTTGTCAATAAAGGCTGTCTTGGATGGTGTTTGCCTAAAGGGTTTAAGTGCAGGGGAAGGGAAACAGACTTCTACTTTAAACTACCAATTCTGCCTTCTCATGCCCAGAAAAGATCATAAAAAGAGACCACCAGGATCCATAATCAGAAAATCGCCTGTAGAGGCCGAGCTACAGGCTGGGAGCATTGAAACCCTCCACTTGAGATAGAGGCTGAAAGCAATGTGGTAATATTTAAATACTGTTTAGACATTGCACTTATTAAGAAATAAATTTCATTCTCAATAAGATTTAAAGAATGGAGCAGTCTGACACAGAGAAAGAGTTCACCAAAATTTGGGCAGTATATATTTAGAAAGCCATTTCTATTGGAAAGTAGATGAGGCCATTTTAAAGTTCTCTACTCAACAACAGATCCTCCGTACACGATCTGAAGAACAAAATCAACCCTTTCTAATGAATGTCATAACAATTTTGGAATTCTAGAGAATTCTGAATCTCTTACAGATATGAAACCCGTGGCTCAAAAAAAGCTGAATGCCTTGCCCAAGGTCACACAGTTTTTTAGTGACAGGTGTAATAAAAGACTCCATTTCCTACCTTCTCAGTCTTTTGCTCTTTCCACTCTATGACCAGAAAGGTTAAGCCACAAATAGTCTCTTAGTTGCCAATTTCCCATGCCACCGAAGACTTTATATGCAAGGGAATGTTGTTAAAATCACCTGAGAGTGATCACCTGTTGTTGGGAACAGCTGAGCAACCAACACAGCTCATAAAGCCAGAGAAGACAGAGGGCAGCTTCCTGAGTGCGTGATATATTCTCTAACATTATTTGAGAAAGAAAATAACTTTAAAATACTACAAAAATTCTTTATAATGAACACTGTACCAATGTTGATATAAAAACTTGGTCTGGTAAAATGTCCCTCTTCCTTTTTCCTGAAATATGGGAAGCATGTGGGTTCCTTTCCTAATCTTGCTGCTGTTCAAAGCAGAGAAAAATTCCCCTGTGATTTTACTGCTGCAGACAGCAAACATCACTCTGCCACAAGCAAGGCGAAAGAAAATGATACAGCAATCACTTGTAATTAAGGCTGTAGACTACAGTTCAGGAAAAATAAATCCAAACCTTCATTAGAAGCCTGAACTGGCATGATGGAAGAAAATATTCCATCAAACTACTGATACATCATTTTTTTTAAAACAATTATGATTCAGCATATTGGTTCATATTAATTTAGGCTGTATATAGAAAACTGAGTAGGTATAGATAATTGGCTTTTCCAAGATCTGGTTTATAATAGAATAGTGAGGAGGGTATAAAAATACAAGTTCTACAAGATGTACATTCAAACACAAATTAGATTTCATCCAGACTAAAGAAGAAAGCTGACTGACAGAATAAGTTCAAGAGGAATTGATTGGCAGACCTGAGTTTTGACAAGAGATTAAAATAAGAGGAGAAACAGGAAAGCAAGAAGACATTATGAGAGGAGGATGACAAATCATTGGCCAGCTTGACAACTTGAGGTTATTCGGGTCTTGGTGAAAAAAAAAAAAATAGCAGAATAGGTTTTAAGGAGGTTTTGAAACTACCTTTAATTGACAGAAGTATTATGATTTCCTGGGAGGAGTGAGAAGGAAAGCCCCAGAGAAGCCACTGCGCAAGCTGCCCCCTCCTCCCCACGGAATCAGAGCACACCAAGAGAAAACCACATGGAAGAGGACAGGCACCAGCTGCCCACCACTGGCTGCTTGAATCCATTTTATATTTCAAGTATCCAGATGTAAAGAAGCAACAAGAGCCTAACTACATAAGCTGACCTTGAACTCCTCTTTGCCCCTAGAAAGGAATCTTGTCATTGAAGCCTAGAGAAGAACTCTGCACCTTGGAAGTTGATGTATTGTCAATAGAGGAGACTATGTCTTGAGTCTGATTACGTCTTGTGTCCAGATAATTCTCCTGTTGTGTGGGAGGCTGCTTTAAAAACTGTGGAGATTATCTTATCAGGAAGCTAGCATGTAGGATCATGGTGTGGATCCAGAGGATTTTGTAATCGTTACAGACCTGCAGCCCTTGGGCAGAGTTTTAACTACACCATGCTCCAGCATTTAGATCTGCATTTATGACATGGGATGCTTTCTCTGTTAACAAAAAGTTGAGTGCATCCCATGAACACCATGTTTCCATGCACTGATTTTAGAAACTATCCTAAAAAGGGCTTTATAATTATTTCCTAAGTACCTGACTCTGGCTGTTAGTTTATCCTATAATCAATGCCTATAACTTTAAGTCATTGAACATTAAAAACCATGGACTTGGCTGGGCACGGTGGCTCACACCTGTAATCCCAGCACTTTGGGAGGCCGAGGCGGGTGGATCACGAGGTCAGGATATGGAGGCCACCCTAGCTAACACAGTGGAACCCTGTCTCTACTAAAAATACAAAATATTAGCCAGGTGTGGTGGCAGGTGCCTGTAGTCCCAGCTACGTGGGAGGCTGAGGCAGGAGAATGGTGTGAACCCAGGAGGTGGAGCTTGCAGTGAGCCAAAATCATGCCAGTGTACTCCAGCCTGGGTGACAGAGTGAGACTCCATCTCAAAACAAAACAAAACCATATGAAAAACCATGGACTTAATTCAGTCACACTAGCATTTTATAAAATGAGGTGTCTGTGTAGTTAAAAATAACATCAACAGCTTCTTAACTTTAAAATTACAAAATAGAATTATTTAAAATCTTCCCTCTCTTTTCACTCTCACAAACTCCATATCTGTGCTCATTTTGAACTCTGTGAGAGTTCAAAGCCATGAGATTGGCCATAGACTTTCCCCAATTCTTCACAATATTTCGCTCAGTATACCTTAATACCCCCTGGTGTTGAGTGGGGCCAGCTTTATATACACATTTCCTTTATATAATATCAAATTCCTTCATTGACACTATGACTAAAGTACCTGGCATCATCTCCTGGTATCTCTAGACTTTCCTCCTTTGGCAGTTCTCTGTGTGCTCACATCTGATAGCAACAGCAGAGCAGCTCTGCCCTGCTCCAGGTCATTCCCTACCTAATTTTCTTCACTGAAAAGACAGAGATGAAAGTAATGTAATGGCTTCGGGCAGCATGAGCTCTGACTTTAAAACTGACTAGATAAGCAGCAAGTTTAACCTACCTACCATACCATGTCCTCCTTCACCCTCTCAATGCACTGCCTTCTAGGTGTAGTCTGTGAACTTCTCAATGAATGTCCCTTCTGCTTATAGTCAGTGCTTGGAAATGCAAATTTGAATCCTCTGCAAGGAGCCAAATGTCTTTGTGATATCATCACCATAATCAAGAAACAAAGTACATTTCTAACGGGGTAGGATGACTATGTGTTTATGACTAACACGTACTCTTTGGAAGATTTTATTTCCATTAACAGTTGAAACAAAACCAAACCAAACAACTAGTATAGTTATTACCGATTCACTTTGAGAAGTGAAGAATTTACCTTTGAAATCTCAGTGAATACATATTTTAGATCCCATTTGAACTCTCATCACGTATTTCATGAGGAAATGAGAAGCAACACTTTTAAAGTAAAGCCAACAAGTAGCATATTAGACCACAGGACCCTTAATATTTATAACCTAAAACTCAGGGAGTAAAGGATGGCAAAAACCCTCCAGACAAAATATTCCATTTCTTCCATTAAAATTGCTTCCATATTTAGCTTTCTAAGGGTAAAAACTAACATTTGCTTAGCACACTTATAAAGTTTAGTGCTTATTTATTAAGGTTTTTCCATTGCCTGAAAAAATGGTTTTTTTTAAAAAAAGGTTATAAAATGAAAAAGGGAATTGAAATGAGTACTAGAATTCCAAAACCCTTAAATATCTGTTATTTCACTTAAGCCAGACAACAGCACTGTGAAGCAGGTAATGCTGTGTCCGTATGGGTGAATGAGGAAACACAGCCCAGCTGGGTTAAGTGACATCAGCACAGCACACTAAGAGAATTGTGCAGACAAGACCCCAGCCCTCCAAAGCTGGGTGCCTCATATTCCCACAGCCCAATGTAGACTCACTCTTATAAGGGCTCAAGCTTAAATTTAAAACTACTTTTCATGTATGAGTATCAAATAAAATTAAATCATCTGAATTATGTTTACTGCTTTTTCTTTCTTTTTTGTTTGGCTTGGTTTGGTTCTAGTGGTTGCCCAAGAGTTTGCATTATACACTTTTTTTTTTGCAACTAACCTAAGTTCACTTTCAAATATTACTGCATGGGTGGTACCTTATAACAGAGTATTCACAATTCCATCCTCCAATCCCTTGTAACATGGCTGTCATTCTTTCCCTTACCCATCAGCTATACCTACCCAATACATTATTGCTATAATTATTTTGGACAGTTATCTACTAGCTCAGATATGATTAAGAAAAATAAAGATTTTATTTTACCTTCATTTATTCCCTCTCTAAAACTCTTCATTTCTTTATAGAGATCCACATTTCTGACTTATATCATTTTCTTTTTTTCAAAAAAATTTATTTAGATATTTCTTGCAAGGCATGTATACTACTGACACATTTCCTCAGTTTTTGTCCAAGAAAGCCTCGATTTCTCCTTCACATGTGAAGAATAATTTCACTAGATACAAAATTCTAGGTTGATAGCTTTTTCTTTCAACACTTTAAATATTTCATTCCCTGATTTTCATTGCATAGTTTCTGAGGAGAAATCTGATGTAATTCATATCTTTGCTCCTCTAAAGATAAGGTTCCTCTGCATATACGCTAGGGCTCATTCAAAATTTTCTCTTTGTCTTTGGTTTTCTGCAACCTAAATATAAAATGTCCAGATATAGATTTCATTTTTTAAGGATTTGTCCTTCTTCTTGTTCCTTGAGCTTCCTGACTGTATGGTTTGGTTTCTGTCATTAATTTTAGAAAATCCGCAGCTACTACTACTTCAAATATTTTTTCTGTTCCTTTCTCATTTTCTTTTCCTCTGGTGTTCCTATGATGCCTATGCTAAACCTTTTGTAATTGTCCCATAGTTCTTGGATAGCCTGCATATTTTTTCATTCTTTTTTCTGTTTGTTTTTCAGTTTGGGAAGTTTCTACTGAATTATTTTCAATCTCATTTATTCTTTCCTCAGAATGTCCAGTCTGCTCATGAGCCCATCAAAAGCATTCTTCATTTTTGTCACAGTGTTTTTTATTTTGGCATTTCCTTTTGATTCTTAGTTTATTGTTCATCTGTTCTTGCATGTTGTTTATTTTTTCCATTAAATTCTTTAGCATATTAATTACAGTTATTTTAAATTTATGATCTGATGATTCCAAAAGTTCTGCCATAGCTGAGTCTAGTTCCAGTACTTGCTTTTTCTCTTCAGGTTGTGATTTTTCTGGCCTTTTAGTATAATTTGTAGTTTTTCTGTTGAAAGTTGTACATAAGGTATCTGGTAATAGGAGCTAAGGTGGGTAGATCTTCAGTGTGAGGTGTTATGTTTATCAGGCTAGGAGTTAGGCTGTTTCATGTTTGCTATAGCTGTAGGTGTCAGAGGCTAAAATTTTCTCTAGTGTCCTTGTTTTTGATGTTACTGTTGTCTTTGGCTTTCTCTAAAAACTTCTTCTTAACTAGAGTCTGAGCTTTGCAGTACATTCAGCTGTAATCTCATTATTATCCAGGAGCCCTGTTGATGTGATAGTAAAGTATGTAGGGAGGAAAAGCGTTCTATTCTCCTGTGGTTAGGTCTCAGGCTTTGGTGAGCCTGTGTTCTGGTGCTTTTACTTTGGGTAATTTTTCTTCCCCCACATCAAATAAGACTCTGCTGAACGTATTCTCCTTCTGGATAGGCCTTTGTTAATAGAGAATGCTCTGGGTTTATCCCCAAATAATTATTTTTCCTCACCCCCTGCCCAAACACAGGGGTTTTTTTCTCTGATTTTCGCCATGAGAACCTGGTAGGACTGCTTAAGGTACAAACCCACACAAGCTGCAGTTTTAAATTCTCAGGCTATTCTACACACAGCCTCTAGCAGTTCCTTGAAGCTGCTGTTTAAGTGTTCCTACCAGCTACTGGCTCCAGCGACTTATGCTTTAGCAAAACCAATCGCAATCTTCACTTGCCTGTCTCTCCAATTTATCCAGTAGCAGTTTATCCTGAGACCTCAATTTTCTCATGATGTTTTGATTTTCAGTGTGTAGCTTTTTTCTTGCTGTGAAGGTAGAACTGATGACTTGCAAACTATTTATGTGTTGAAGAATAAACCATAAGTCCTCAATTATACCTACATATAATGTAAATCATATTTTGTTTAGTTATTTTGGACCACATCCTGTAATTCTTCTAGGTAATACTATAGAGAACAACAGTTCAATTTTAATGCTGGAGTGCTTAGTGAACTACAACTTGCTGTCACAAAATACTTTCCAGAATAGGTCTAAATCAATATCATATAAAATTGTCCTTTAAAAGAATGAAACAATAATACAAATTATTGTCTATATACAAACAGATTACGTCAAGGAATGTATAAGGCAGTCATACAAATTATAGTAAGGAAATATGGCTTTTAAAATAGCTGGTTGACATCTGACCTTTGACAAGGTTGACATAAAGAAGCAATGGGGAAAGGACTCCCCATGGTGCTGGGATAACTGATAACCACATGCAGAAGATTGAAACTAGACCCTTTCCTTACACTATATACAAAATTCAACTCCAGATGGATTGAAGACTTAAATGTAAACCTAAACTATAAAAACCCTGGAAGATAACCTAGAAAATACCATTCTAGACATAGGACCTGACAAAGATTTCATGATAAAGACACCAAAAGCAAATACAACAAAACAAAAAATTGACAAATGGAACCTAATTAAACTAAAGAGCTTCTGCACAGCAAAAGAAACTATTAACAGAGTGAACAAACAACCTACAGAATGGAAGAAAATATTTGCAAACTATGTATTCATCAAAGGTCTAATACTAAGAATCTATAAGGAACTTAAACAAATTAACAAGCAAAAAACAACCACATTAAAAAGTGAGCAAAGGACCTGAACAGACACTATTCAAAAGAAGATGTACAAGTGGCCAAAAAACCGTGAAAGAATACTCAACATCACTAATCAGAGAAATGCAAATAAAAATCACAATGAGATGCCATCTCATACCAGTCAGAATGGCTAGTATTAAAAAGTCAAAAAAAAAAAAACAGATGCTGGTAAGGTTGCAGAGAAAAAGGTAACACTTATACACTGCTGGTGAGAATGTAAATTACTTCAGCCATCCTGGAAAGCAGTTTGGCAATTTCTCAAGAAACTTGAGAAACAGAACTGCCATTCAACCCAACAATCCCATTATTGGGCATATACCCAAAGGAATATAAATTACTCTACCATAAGGACACATGCACACAAATGTTCACTGCAGCACTATTCACAATAGCAAAGACATGGAATCAATCTAAATGCCCATCAGTGGTAGACTAGATAAAGAAAATATGGTACATATACACCAGGGAATACTACACAGCCATAAAAAAGAATGAGATAATGTCCTTTGAAACTCCAACATGTATGGAGTTAGAGGCCATTGTCCTAAGCAAGCAAACACAGAAATAGAAAACCAAATACCACATATTCTTACCTATAAGTGGGAGCTAAACATTGGGCACACATGGACACAAAGAAGGGAACAATAGACACTGTGGCCTACTCGAAGATGGAGGGAAGGAAGATAGTGAGGATTTAAAAACTACCTATCAGGTGGTATGCTTATCACTTGGATGATGAAATAATCTGTACACTAAACCCTCATGACACTCAATTTACCTATATAACAAATCTGCACATTTATCCCGAGCCTAAAATAAAAGTTTAAAAAATACAAATAAAAATCTTATTTTAACTAAATCTTATTTAAAAAAATAGGTTGAGCAAAGAAAGTAGGAATCAAAACACAACCTATAAAATGACCAGTCCTTAAAAAAATACCTTAATAAATGCCTATCATGTACCTTCAATATACTAAATAGATAACATGTTTTTTTCTGACTTCTAAAAGCTTTGTGAGGTATGACAATTATCACTTTTTTATAGATGGCAGAATTGAGGCCCAGACAGGTTAAGTAACCTGCCTAAGTTCTCAGTAGGAGACAGATAGCTGGATGTATAGAAAAAAAGATAGATAGATAGATGATACATAGATAGATAGATAGAGTTTATCTTTGTAACATGTCAGGAAAGTTGGAGTCAGGTTAGTGTCAGGGTTCTCCTGACAAATCAAAATGCCATTTGAAGCAATCTAGAGGGAGAGTGATACTCTTCTGAGGGCAGCTCATGAGGGTGCCAAGCTAGAGAAGAAAGACACAAATATGTGGGAGGAGTCTAGAAAAACAAGGCCATAGCCAAGAAATTCTAGAAAGTGGGTTGCGCTGATAGAGCAACACTTGGAGAATGGGCTATCAAGCTGGTAAACAAGGCAGTGGAGAGACGGAACTGGTGCTTGAGGTACAAAACAAACCAGACATACCCATGGAGGAGATTTGTGTTAAGCCTCACATACACACAGAAAAAAACAAAAGCATGGTAGGGCCACAGGTAAGGGCTCACCAAGAATGCCACACTATATTGGACAGGGTACTTGGCCCTTCTTCACTACCTCCTTGCTTACAGACTCCATGTTTTCTTCACTGACAGTGAGGTGAAATGGATACAGGGGACAATCTATAGCACAACACAGCTCTCTCTCCCCTGCTCACCATTGCACACTTTCTTGGCCTCTGTCCTTGTTGTAGGCCAAGTCTTATTCTACCCCACTTCAGGGCTGTTATCTGTGCTATGCCTTCTGGAGTAATCCTCTCCTCTACCCACCCATGTACTTTGTAATGATATATGTTACTTGTGTGCTTGTTCAATTTATGGTTTCCCAATTATCTACAGGCTCTCGGAGAGCAAAGACTATATTTGTTTTATGTGCCATTAAATGACCCAGAATGTTTAATATATGGTAAGAACATATAAGTACTTAATGAATGAATGACTAGCTTTGCTACTGTACTGAGAATTCCTGCTCCCTTTACCCAATCACTGGAAGCCGCCATGAGATTACCATTAGATCTGAGGAAAGAAAAGGATGAGAGCTGGGGCAGGTGGTAACAGTATGGTAGAAGCAAAGCCAAGTCATAGCTGCGTGGCAGACTGGAGCATCTGTCAAGGTAACAGGGCACTGAATAACTATGAATGCATTCATAAAACAAGCCACAGTTGGGAAGCCAAAGGAGTTGAGAGGAATAGCATAGACAGAGAGAGATCTACGCAGAGTAAGGCAAGGCTCTGGCACTGAAGGCTATGCAGTGCCAGTGGGGATGTTTCTTAAAGGCCAACAGCAGAATGGACAAGCCAACAGGAGGTCAAGTTACCATTTGATTTCATTGACTTCAGAAAGAGGTGTTGCCATACTGGGAAACCAAGTTTCCCATAAGACAACAACTAGAAACGGAAAAACTTGAACTTGAGTAGACTAAAGGATATCTCATATTTTATATCTACAAATCTAATTATCCTGTTAAGAAAGAAAATATTAAGTTTTTGAGTAAAGTAAGTACCTCAGAAATAGCAATCATCTAGTGTCATTATTTAAACTTTGTTATCAAGGTTAAAACAAAGCAAAAATTTTAATTTCTCACCTGGATTTTTTATCAGCTAAATCTCTGCACACATTAAAATAATTAAGTAAGTTAAAATTTAGTGATAAAACTGAAGTTTGATAAGATTGGGCTGATACAATAAGATCTATGTCTACCATAGTGTCTTTAACTTGGTTAAGTCAATAAGACACTAAATCCTTTAATTCCTCCTCCTGAAATACAGAGAGACTATTTCTCTCCATCTTATATATATATATATATTCATGAGTTATGAAATAAGGTGACATATATAACTTCCACTAAGGGCCTTTAAAAAATGGTTATCCACATAGAAGGTATTGTGCATATTTATACGAATGAGTGACTTTTTCCCCTAAATTGAAGAATTAAAGTCCAAGGTCACCCAGCTACTAAGTAAGTGCCACGTCAAGTTTTCACCATTTCACCATTCCAGAATATCCCCAAATATCATTTAATATCATCAATTCAATGGCATTTATTTCTCAATGTATTCATAGAACAATTTTTGTTGTTTTGAAATTAAGAAGATAAAGTCAGTTTTACCAACATTATTTTGGAACATTAAATTACCACATTTCAAGTTATTCTCACCTTCTCTCATTTGATAGAACTGAAGTCTAAGAAAATAAAATTTTGATCCTATTCACCCTGAGAAATTACATAAGGAATTATATAACGAAATATTAGCTCTATATCATAAGATGAAAAGGATTGTTCCCTGCCTCATTCGCTCGACGGTATCTTTGCTCTCACCTCACGGTTACCACAGATAACATTCAATATCTTTCTAAACAATCTTCACATTTATTATTTACTGTGATTTACTGTTCTCCCTCTACTCCACCTTCCTATCCTACTTCCTGTTGTCAGAGCATCCCAAGCTCCTATCCTGCCTCCGTGCCTTAGTGCTTGCTCTTTCTTCAGCCTACATGAGAGCATTCTTCCTTCAGGGTTTTCAGCATGACTGATTCCTTATTTTCAGGCATCAGCTCAAATGACACCTCTTCAAAGAGATGTCCCAGACCACTTCTTGCCCTCACACAGTTTTTATCACATGACCCTATTTTCCTTCCAAGCACGTATTACAATTATCATTCATCTTTTTAGTATGCTTTTTACTACTTTCTCGTTTATCCCTCTCCACTAGAATATTAGCTCCATGGGCACAGGAGTTCTATCTATAGTGTTGACTGCTGTTCAGAACCACACCTAGTGCCTGGCACATGGCAGTAATTGACCATATTTGTTGCATTAGTTGACAAATAAATCCATATAAGCAAGACATTCTCCACAAGCAGGGATTAGTCAAAATATATCTTCCAAAAATGTCAAGTGTAATCACATGGCCTGAGCTACTTAGATGAGTCAGTATGCAGAAACAGAGGTATCACTCCCCAGGCTCTGAAATGGAGCAAGACCTAGAGATAAGCTGATATACTGACACCACTGAATAAGCCACACAAATAACCCAGTTAGCCAAATGATGGCAGTCAGTTTGTACTCTTCAAGTTGATCCAAGAAACTAACACAGAATGGTCCTTTCTATGATGGCATAGATTGAATTTGGATGTTTTTTGTTAAAGTGAACATTTTATAGTCAATTTCACCACGTTTAATTTACAAAGAAATAAAATTGAAATTATTCTAAAGAATCCTGCAAATACCATGTCCTATGGGAAAGTGAGATTATAGTAATGTATTAAGAAAGGAAGGTAATTGGAAAAGTCATCAAATGGTTATTAAATAAACATATATGTATACTTATGTTTGTTGATGTACAAAACTGAAGAATTTTGAAGTTGCAACACTTCAACACAACAGTAGTCTAGATACTGAAGAACAAGATGCACCAGTTACATAAAAACCTTAAGCTGTCATCTGACAAACGTCACTGTGATTATAAGCTGTACCCAGTCATTAGGGAAAAGCACTAGGCAAAGTCCAAGTTTGTGGACTTGCCGTATTCACACATAAAGAAAGATGTAAAAAAGAATTGATTTGTAAAGAATAATGCTTAAACTATTTTTTAAATAACAGTAATAATGTAAATTCCCAAGCACATGAGGGACTGAGGTTTATGTGCCTCTGCTGATCTCTCACTGGCATCGTGGATGTGGGTTACAGGATGGCCAGTGCTTTATCTTCAAAGGCAAGGCCCTGCTATCCAGATGCTTCCTGGGAAGGATTTGCGGTCCTAAAGGACCTTAGTGCCTCATTCAGGTATTTCCCACCTAGAGGTTGGCCTGTGGAATTACTGATGCTGTTCATTTTTTTAGCTGTATGAGCATTTTGTTTCTGAATCTAGATCCACCTCTTCCTCTCACTCTGTATGTTGTACTCATTTTCAGCTATAATGTTGCATTTGTTTCATAGTATAATAAAATATCACCCAAGAAATCTAACAGTACAGTTGTTAGCAGCTATCAGCAAACAAATGTATTAAAAGCTTGGGTTGATTGTGTGTGTTCCACAACCAGCTGAACAACTTCCAAAGAGAGGAATGTTAATATCAGAAACCCACAACCCTCTTTCCCCCTTTTCCGTTAATATTTACTAAAGTAATTCTTGTTTTAGAGTTTTCTACTTACTTCCATGTAAGATAAATTATTGAACTCAAACTGTGATAAACTTTACTTAAAATACATGTCATGTGTGTATGAATAACGCCAAGTTTACTTCTTACAACTCAGACCTCAGTGCTCCCTGGCTGGTGCTGCTACATCTGAGGGGATGCAATGAGGCTGGTTCTGAGAATGTGAAAATAAAAGCTGGAGACTTGAACCAACCGCACTGCTAAGATGAAGGGGCATTGCTAGGACCATGCTGTTAGCAACAGGAAACAAACTGAACAGCCCTCCTCCAGCCTTCTAGTCTTTTCTCTAGCACCTCCTATCAGCAGACCTAACAGAAAACTAGCAGGCAAAAGAGAAACATGTTTTTGCAGAATCACAGCCCCAGCATTAGGAAGCAGAGTATAGACAAGTGGATTTGGAGCCGAGTGACAATAGCACACCCACCCCCCTCCCACTTGGTCTCAGGGATCAGCTATGTGTTCACTTTGCTGCAGCTCGGTGGCTACTCAAGGCTACTCAGTTGAAGAATTCAACTTGTTTACCTCTGGAAACAAATATGGACTTTTAGTTATTTATGTTGAAACAGATCACGCAAGTCACCCACTAAATCTCCACTAGCAGAAGCAATGAGCCAGATGCCAAAGATGAATAAACACAACCTTGATCATATGAAGAAATATTTAACTGACAAAAATATAAATATAAATTGGGCCATAGCTTTCAGAGACTTCAAAGTATAACAAAATCTATCCCAATAAGTTATTTTCTTCCAGTATAAATGGTCTGTCTTTTTATTCTGCAGTGAATCCAGATTTCTCAGTAATTCAAGGACTGATGAACTGGTTGGCAGATCTCAAGCTTCTCTCCCTTCTCCCCACAAATACTTTCTTTTCAGCATTTCCACTAGAAAGGAAACAGTGAAAGCTCATTCAATTGCTTTTTCCATTGCTCTCTAGAGGTTCAGTGGGAAAGACCACAGACTCACTCACTAAAAACTCCAACATTTACCAGCAAAATCCTATGCAGTCTTGAGTGAGACAAGGGAGTGGGCAAACCCCTCTCCCATCCATCCCTAGAATGGGATACAGATTTCCTCAAAGATAAGTTTACAGCCATCAAGCACCCTGCTACTGAATGTGTCATTAATTGCTGAGATCTAAGGATATGAACAACATCCTGGAGAAATGAAGAATGTTCCTATAGAGACCCATTTCAACACCATAGAAAAAGGGAAATAGGGGAAGGGGTACTGAAAGAGGAAAAAGAAATGCTAAAAGAATCCAAATAGTTATGTATAGCCTTAAAAAATACAGAAAGCTTACTAATTCTTTTTTAAAAGCTCACAAAAGAGATTATTCAGGTGTTCAAATGAGAAATTATGAGTTATGATGAGTGGATGAAAATTTAGCCTGTAGAATTTGAAAAAAAAAGACAAAAGTAAAAATATTACAAAGAAAAGCTACACATAAACCATATCTAACATAATCATAACTTCTGTTTATTATTCAAGTGAGAGACTAGAATAGATAAGAAAAAATGTATTAAAAATAGGTATAATTTTAATATGTAAAATAATACATTGAAGTTAGAGAAATAACATAAGCAAAAAGAAAGCAAAGAAGTAGGAGGAAATTAAGCCAAAATCTAAACTTAATGAAAGAGAAAATACAAATAGAAATGATAAATAAATAAAACATGCTCCTAAAAAGGAAGGTAAAATAGATCAACCCTGGGAATCCTGATTAACAAAAAGGGAAAAACAAAAGGTAGCAATATTAGGTATGAAAAGGGTGACATAAAGTATAGAAGAGATTAAAAGACTTCTAAGAGAATATCATCTGCAATTCTATATCAATATTTTTTGGAAAGCTGGAAGAAATAGATGAATTTCTAGCACAATATAAGGGGCCAATATTGGTTCAAGAAAAGGTGGAAAATCTGAAAGGACCAATAAACATACTAGGTATTTTAAAAGCAATTTTTAAAATCTACAATATTAAAAAGACACTTGTCCTACATAGGTTTCTGGATGGGCTTTGTAGGTATGTTAAAACTTTACAAAACAGATCATTTCTATAATAATTAAGCTTTTAGTATAATAATTTCAGACCACAGTAAAGAAGGGACAGTTATTTTTTTTCATGTATTTATAGTTTCTTTTTTTTAAATTTTATTATTATTATACTTTAAGTTTTAGGGTACATGTGCACAATGTGCAGGTTTGTTACATATGTATACATGTGCCATGTTGGTGTGCTGCACCCATTAACTCATCATTTAGCATTAGGTATATCTCCTAATGCTATCCTTTCCCCCTCCCCCCACCCCACAACAGTCCCCGGTGTGTGATGTTCCCCTTCCTATGTCCATGTGTTCTCATTGTTCAACTCCCACCTATGAGTGAGAACACATGGTGTTTGGTTTTTTGTCCTTGCGATAGTTTGCTGAGAATGATGGTTTCCAGTTTCATCCATGTCCCTACAAAGGACATGAACTCATCATTTTTTATGGCTGCATAGTATTCCATGGTGTATATGTGCCACATTTTCTTAATCCAGTCTATCGTTGTTAGACATTTAGGTTGGTTCCAAGTCTTTGCTATTGTGAATAGTGCCACAATAAACATACGTGTGTATGTGTCTTTATAGCAGCATGATTTATAATCCTTTGGGTATATACCCAGTAATGGGATGGCTGGGTCAAATGGTATTTCTAGTTCTAGATCCCTGAGGAATCGCCACACCAACTTCCACAATGGTTGAACTAGTTTACAGTCCCACCAACAGTGTAAAAGTGTTCCTATTTCTCCACATCCTCTCCAGCACCTATTGTTTCCTGACTTTTTAATGATTGCCATTCTAACTGGTGTGAGATGGTATCTCATTGTGGTTTTGATTTGCATTTGTCTGATGGCCAGTGAAGATGAGCATTTTTTCATGTGTTTTTTGGCTGCATAAATGTCTTCTTTTAAGAAGTGTCTGTTCATATCCTTTGCCCACTTTTTGATGGGGTTGTTTGTTTTTTTCTTGTAAATTTGTTTGAGTTCATTGTGGATTCTGGATATTAACCCTTTGTCAGATGAGTAGGTTGCAAAAATTTTCTCCCATTCTGTAGGTTGCCTGTTCACTCTGATGGTAGTTTCTTTTGCTGTGCAGAAGCTCTTTAGTTTAATGAGATCCCATTTGTCAATTTTGGCTTTTGTTGCCATTGCTTTTGGTGTTTTAGACATGAAGTCCTTGCCCATGCCTATGCCCTGAATGGTATTGCCTAGGTTTTCTTCTAGGGTTTTTATGGTTTTAGGTCTAATATTTAAGTCTTTAATCCATCGTGAATTAATTTTTGTATAACATGTAAGGAAGGGATCAAGTTTCAGCTTTCTACATATGGCTAGCCAGTTTTCCCAGCACCATTTATTAAATAGGGAATCTTTTCCCCATTGCTTATTTTTGTCAGGTTTGTCAAAGATCAGATAGTTGTAGATATGCGGCATTATTTCTGAGGATTCTGTTCTGTTCCATTGGTCTATATCTCTGTGTTGGTACCAGTACCATGCTGTTTTGGTTACTGTAGCCTTGTAGTATAGTTTGAAGTCAGGTAGCGTGATGCCTCCAGCTTTGTTCTTTTGGCTTAGGATTGAGTTGGTGATGTGGGCTCTTTTTTGGTTCCATATGAACTTTAAAGTAGTTCTTTCCAATTCTGTGAAGAAAGTCATTGGTAGCTTGATGGGGATGGCATTGAATCTATAAATTACTTTGGGCAGTATGGCCATTTTCACGATATTGATTCTTCCTACCCATGAGCATGGAATGTTCTTCCATTTGTTTGTATCCTCTTTTAATTCATTGAGCAGTGGTTTGTATTTCTCCTTGAAGAGGTCCTTCACATCCCTTGTAAGTTGGATTCCTAGGTATTTTATTCTCTTTGAAGCAATTGTGAATGGGATTTCACTCATGATTTGGCTCTCTGTTTGTCTGTTATTGGTGTATAAGAACGCTTGTGATTTTTGCACATTGATTTTGTATCCTGAGACTTTGCTGAAGTTGCTTATCAGCTTGAGAAAATTTTGGGCTGAGACGATGGGGTTTTCTAGGTATACAATCATGTCATCTGCAAATAGGGACAATTTGACTTCCTCTTTTCCTAATTGAATACCCTTTATTTCCTTCTCCTGCCTGATTGCCCTGGCCAGAACTTCCAACACTATGTTGAATAGGAGTGGTGAGAGAGGGCATCCCTGTCTTGTGCCCGTTTTCTAAGGGAATGCTTCCAGTTTTTGCCCATTCAGTATGATATTGGCTGTGGGTTTGTCATAGATAGCTCTTATTATTTTGAGATACATCTCATCAATGCCTAATTTATTGAGAGTTTTTAGCATGAAGGGTTGTTGAATTTTGTCAAAGGCTTTTTCTACATCTATTGAGATAATCATGTGGTTTTTGTCTTTGGTTCTGTTTATATGTTGGATTACATTTATTGATTTGCATATATTGAACCAGACTTGCATCCCAGGGATGAAGTCCACTTGGTCATGGTGGATACGCCTTTTGATGTGCTGCTAGAATCGGTTTGCCAGTATTTTATTGAGGATTTTTGCGTCAATGTTCATCAAGGATATTGCTTTAAAATTCTCCTTTTTTGTTGTGTCTGTGCCAGGCTTTGGTATCAGGATGATGCTGGCCTCATAAAATGAGTTAGGAAGGATTCCCTCTTTTTCTATTGATTGGGATAGTTTCTGAAGTAATGGTACCAGTTCCTCCTTGTACCTCTGGTAGAATTCGGCTGTGAATCCATCTGGTCCTGGACTTTTTTTGGTTGGTAAGCTTTTAATTATTGCCTTAATTTCAGAGCCTGTTATTGGTCTATTCAGAGATTCAACTTCTTCCTGGTTCAGTCTTGGGAGGGTGTATGTGTCAAGGAATTTATCCATTTTTTCTAGATTTTCTACTTTATTTGCGTAGAGGTGTTTATAGTATTCTCTGATGGTAGTTTGTATTTCTGTGGGATCGGTGGTGACATCCCCTTTGTCATTTTTTTATTGCATCTATTTGATTCTTCTCTCTTTTCTTCTTTATTAGTCTTGCTAGCGGTCTATCAATTTTGTTGATCGTTTCATAAAACCAGCTCCCGGATTCATTGATTTTTTGAGGGGTTTTTTGTGTCTCTATTTCAAGAAGGGACAGTTATTTTTAAAGTTATTACAATGTCACTACCAGTATTGATTAACATATGCAAATTTCACTTATTAATATAGTTACAAAAACTTAAAACAAGGTATTAACAAATTAAATCCACCAGTATATAGAAATAATAATACAGTATGACCAACTAGTATTTTCTTAGAGGAATGCAAAGACAGTTTCTTTAGGAAATTTATCAATATAAGACACTATGAAATTAAAGAAAAAAATTTATTAAACCCTATAGTCATTTTAAATAAAAATTTCATGTAAAACAGTATAGGAGAAAACTCCTGTAATATAACCAAGACTATCTACCAAAGTCAATACTGACACATCAAATATATGTTAGTATTTTTCCTAAAATCAAAAAAGATTAGAATCTGCAACTCAAAAGTTTATGTCATATGCTGTAGAAAAGACTAAATGATCAACATTGAAATATATATCGATGAAGTTACTAAGCACAAAATATACTTCAAAACCATACAGACATTTACATCAATAAAGTCATATAAAGTGAAAAAAATCAGATTACTCCCAGATTTCTTCAAAGCAATCATCAGAAAGAAATTCTAATGATGTCTACAGATTTCCAAGGGAAATAAACTTTGACTCAAGACTTCCTCTAGCAAGATAGACATTGGCAATTTATGTAAATTTTTTAAAATTCCAGCTCCAAAGAGTCATTTTTACAAATAATCACACCTGCACACACGCCTGCATACACACATGCACATGCACACAAAGGAAAACAGATGTGCACTGGCACATAAACACACATGCAAAATGGACACACATGCAAACAACGTCATACACACCACAGGCATGTACACACACACATAGGCAGGCACACGCATTCACATCGTAATTTTTCTATATCTTTTTTCTTAACTGTAGCTGATCTCTCAGGAAAAAAGATCTCTTACAGTATAAAAAATATTTACTGGATTTCTGCAATTCCTTCAGTTTAAATTTAGTATCTCTTTTGTAAAGTCAAGTGAACTCAAGAAAACTTTTATTTGGTATATTTGACCTAAACTGACATGTATCTTGTACAGTATTTAGATTTCATGCAAAAAAATAAAAAATAAACTAGCATGTATCACGTGATCTCAATTTTCTAAATTATTTCTATCTAACTGCAGGGCGCAGTGGCTCATACCTGTAATCCCAGCACTTTGGGAGGCCGAGATGGGCAGATTGCTTGAGGTCAGGAGTTCAAGACCAGTCTGGGCAACATGGTAAAACCCTATCTCTAGAAAAATTACAAAAATCAGCCAGGCATGGTGGTGCACACCTGTAGTCCCAGCTACTCAGAAGGCTAAGGTGGGAGGATTGCTTGAGCCCAGGAAGTTGAGGCTGCAGTGAGCCGTGATCACGCCACTGCACCAGCCTGGGTGACAGAGTGAGATCTTGTCTCAAAAAGAAAAATAATAAATAAATAAATAATGTATATCTATCCTTTCTAAATATACCTGTTAAAATACTTCTAGAATAAAGTTCACCAAATATTAAGAACATTATTTGCAACTGAACAGTCTTTGAGTGATTCCATTTCCTTTCCTTTTCTTTACTATTTAAACTTCTTATAAAGTTTATATCCTTTTTACAAAACCAGTAAAATCCATTGTCTTGCAAAATTAAAAATAAGAATTGGGGAAATGCAAAGAAAAAGAGAAAAAATAGTATTATCATGATGAGTTTCTATTAAAATGTGTTCAGTGTGGTTGTTGCATGAGTCATAGAAAATACTATATGAAGTTTCCATTCTGTAAATTTGATTTCACAATGGAAATGCAAGCTGAGACAGCCATTCCAATTATTTAATGGGCATCCCTGTCTTCCTCTTATTCAATAATAAAAAGTAGAGCTGGAGAAGCCCTCCTCATCTCCCAGCAATGTTTCCTGTAGTATATTCTGCAGGATTCTTTTAGTTTAGTATTAAATGACTCCCCATGTGTTGGGGTTCATCTATTTTCTGTTGTAGAAACCAGCCATCCTCTTGCCTCTATAGGGTAATAAATGCACTAAAATGTTAGGAAAATTCATCTTTGTCTCATTATTGAGTTCTGATAGGGTCTTGCCTGAAGATCTTCCAGCCAAGCCACAATTCACTGGATTCTGATTAAACATCTGTAATACCATAAATTTAACTCATTGATGTTTGTTCCTTACCTCCCCTCCCCTCCCCTCCCCTCTCCTCCCCTCCCCTCCCCTCTCCTCCCCTTCACTTCCCTTTCCTTTCCTTTTGAGAAAGGGTCTAAATCTGTTGCCCAGGCTGGAGTGCAATGGTGCAATCATAGCTAACTGTAACCTCAAACTCCTGGACTCAAGCAATCCTACTGCCTTAGCCTCCCAAAGTGCTGCAATTACAGGCATGAGCCCCCCCATCCAGCTCTGATGTTTGTTTTTAATAACAAAAAGAAAATCTCTGAGAAACACATTGTAGTATTCAAATACCCTTGGCCAAACTGCCTTGCTAATCCTATGTAGAAGCTTGTGGAATTATAAATAGCCATTCAGGGAAGAATCATAAATGGATGCTAACTAAAGGGAGGAAATTACCAACTTTATAGAGGCAAAAAATGATAAAATGGAACCATAATGTGTACAGTTTGATGAGTTTTGACAAATTTATACACCTGTGCAGCCATCACTAAAATCAAGGCCTAAAACATTTCCATTACTCTAAAAATTCCCACCTGCCGCTTTGCAGTCAACAACTCCCCCAATCCCCAGCCCCACCTTGAGTCTCAGGCAGCCACTGATCTGCTTTCTGTCTCCAGATATTAGCTTTATTTTTTCTAGAATTTCACATCAGTGGAATCATACAGTATATATTCTTTTGTGTCTGGCTTCTCTAACAGAGCAGAACATATTTGATACTCATCCATTCTGTTGTATCAGAACATTGTTCCTTTTTATTACTGAGTCATATTCCATGACGTGGGTATACCATAAATCCTCACCTGTTGATGGACATTTGGGTTGTTTCCAGTCTGAATCTATTATGACTAAAGCTGCCAGGTACATTTGTGCACAAGTCTTCGTATCAGAAATGAAAGTCGTCCGCTCTCATTTATCTTGGGTAAATAACTAAGAGTAAATTCCTAGGTCATATGGGAAGTGCATATTTAACTTTATAAGAAACCACCAGATATTTTCCAAAGAGGCTATGCCATTTTACATTTCCCCAGTAATGTATGGAAATTCTAGTTGCTCTACATTCTTGGTACTGTTAGTATTTTTAATTTTAGCCATTCTAACGGGTGCATAGTAGTACATTTCACGGTAGTCTTAATTTGCATTTGGGGAGTAAACTTTGATGAAGAGCAGAATATTTGCATGATCTTAAAAGTATCTCACCACAGATGGCTTATTAGGTGCAGAGAAAAATAAGCCAGTTAACATCAGTGGGCTCAGAGCCTCCACAATCGATGGAAGTAATAAACAGGCCCAGAGAATGAATCGCCTCTGCTTTCAGAGTAGCTCTTTATCTCAGCATCACCTACCGCCCAGCCCTCCCCTCCTGAAATCTCTCTGACCCCAGCCTCTGAACGTTAACTCAAGCTTCCTCTTTTGCCTGCTTCTCTCTGACAAAACTAATATCTCTGGATCACTAAATAGCTGACAAACCCCATCTGGCCAAACCTGTCCTGTTACCTAAAAGTTCACATCTTACTCTAATTCATACATTCCCAGGGCTCTTGTCCTCAGCCACACTCCTTCTTGGATGCTATACTTACATTCTGGTTCTTGGCGTGATAAATTGTGTCTTCCCCTCACTTTGAGAAGTTATAAATCTTTTGTTAGCAACTTATAAATATATCATCCTTTTCATTGGTTCTCTCAAGCAACCTTTCTAATTCCCCAGATAGTCTCATTGCTTTTCTCAGAAGCATTTTGCAGCCAAGGCAAAGTTTTGGAAGCAAAGTGCCAAGTAGTCACTTTTAGTTCCATTCTAAGGTGAGCACATTGGAACTTTTTTTTAAATCACAAATATGGAAATGTGGAAGGATCTTCTTCCTTCAACTTCCACCTATGTCATTTCATATTACACAGGAAAGAAAGTATGACCAGGCACATCAATTACTTAATTGGCCTTATTTTTAGGGGTTTTTACACTAGCTTCCAAAAATCATATTGAGATCCAACCAAGCAAAACATACATGCCTCCATGCCACATGGCATTTAAATCTGATACTCTGGCTGCTACTCCTTATGTCCAGTCTTGAATCCATTTGTTTTTTTCGGTAATCTCTGATGAAAGCATAGATTATGAATCTTTGTAGTGGCAGTAGTCCAGGTTTGTTTGTCCAGTTTAAATTTCATGTTATCACTTTTTCATCGTTTTGATCCGACTTAGAATCACAATTGTAAAATCAGTCCATCACCCATGATGAACCACTGTCTTAACCAAATGTTTCTCTTAGATGAAAAGCCCTAAGAAACATTGAGAGTTTCTAAACCTCTAGTAGGCTATCAGCATGGGCCATACACCTGCTCTACCCAGCATTAGGATGTAATTTAAGAAAAAATTTTAAAGCAAAGCAAAAAAGATTTAAGAAAAGCATTTTCTCCAAGCGTACCCCTTCTGGTTTGTTTATGATGGTGCATGTAACAGGTTCCAAGAAAATTTGGATTGTGCAGTGTCAGTGAAATTACATGAGACACTATTGAAGCCCTTTATGTTTTATTATTTTAATTCCATCCAAAAATACCAATTAATGTGGACTTGAAGATTTTTCCTTTCATAATTATTCTTAGATAACATTTATTAAAGGGCTCAGGATAAGTGCTTTATGTGTAGTATATCTCATTGAATCTTCACAACAACAATATTCTGACTATTGTCTCCATTTTTCAGATGAGAAGACTGAGGCTCAGCAAAATTAAATAAATTGGCCTAGATCACACAGCAAATAACAGTACAAGTACTCAAACCAGCTTGGATTTATTTGTTATCTGTGCTCTAACCACTGTTCTATACTTCCTTATCTCTTTTTTTTAATCTCAACATCTTCATAGTCAATTGCCAGTGTCTTCGCAATCAATGGAATTGGATTTACCAGAGCCTACCTGCCAAGAACTATTCTATATAAAAATATCTCAAACTGCTCTCTCTTCCATAATATTTTCAAAATACTTTGCCAAGAAGTCTATAAATTAGCTAAGCAGCATTCTTAGGATTGAAGAGCACACATCTGCAGGCTTTGCTGATTCATATTCATTCCAGTTTTACAAGTGCTGCCTCTCTTGTGCTTTACTGATAGCTGTTTTACAAGATCTTCATTACTTCATAATTGTTCAGCCTTCTACATTAAGTTTTTCTTGTGAAGACAGATGGTCTGCATGCTTGTAAAATTGGAATAATAAAAGGAAATGAGAATGCTATACCAGAGCATCTTTCTTCCCCAGTACCAATAAATTACTAAATTAAATGTTCCTTTCTGGATCATTATCAGAGTACACCACCTCCATGAGCCAAGTTCTTATAAAATTCTGCATGGTGGTAGAAGCCAAGAACAAATAAAGAGACTGTTAATCCGTTTTATGAACTAGGAAATGTGTCTACAACAGAAATCATCTATGTCACCATTTCTAAAAGTAAGCTATTTACATCAGTCTGGGGCTTCCTTGGAGCAGGTGCCCACAGATCCTTTAAGCTAGAACCTTTCTGAGTTGGACAGAGGAGAGGAAAGAAGGAGACACATCTGATAATACAAAGGACAAGGAGTCAACTTCACTTTGTTGGATGCTGAACATTTTTGGATTTCTGTAAATATTATTGAGCTTTATTCTGGGATGTAGTTAAGTTTCCTCATAGCATTTTTATTCTTTTCCTAAATTAAACTTTGTTTGGCAAACCAGAGCAACATGTGATCTGAAGTTCATTTTGCCCTATTATGGGCAAAATGACCCAAAGCTCCATGATTTATGAGGTTTTCCAGCATGGCAGTTGGAAATAGGCACTATTGCCTGCCTAGCATGAGCCCTTACTATTGTTCCCTTTGGTCCTTTAGGATGGTTCTTTCCTCACAACCATGTGCTGATCAGCACTATGTTGTATACCCTAGGATAATTTCTACAGAGCTCCAGTTTTTTCTCTGTGCAATTCTCTCTATTCCAGTGCACTTCCCTGGGAACTCTACCCCTCTTAACCTCCCTGAACTCACAGCTCTGTCTCCTAAACTTAGGGAGACTGTGAGGCTCAGCATGGGTATATTTCTTCGTACTACAGCCTAGAAACTCTCCTAGGCAGTGAGCTGAGACAATTGTGAAGACAATCTCATTTGTTTCTCGTCCTTCAAGGATCACTCTCCATCACTGCCTGATGTTCATTGTCTTGATAATCACTGTTTTAGATATTTTGTCATGTTTATTTGTTGTTTCAGGCAGAAATGTGAACCTTGTCCTTTACTGCTACAGACTGAATATTTGTGTCCCCTAAAACTTATATGTTGAAATATTAACTCCCAAGGTGATGGTATTAGGAAGTAGGGCCACAGGGAGGTGATTAGTTCAGGAGAGTGGAGCCCTGGTCAATGGGATTTGTTCCAGGACACAGTAGGAAGTCACCATCTAGGAACCAGGAAGTGAGCCCTCACCAGACACTGAATCTGCTAGCACCTTGATCTGCTAGTGCCTTGATCTTGAACTTCCTAGCCTCCAGCACTGTGAGAAAAATAATTGCTGTTGTTTATAAACCACTCAGTCTATGGTATTTTGTTATAGCAGTCCAAACAAACCAAGATATCTACCTTGACTACAAGTGGACATTTCTTATTCTCTTTCTAAACTGTTATTACCCAAACAAACCTGAAGATTACCTGTGATTGGTGCTTTACTTACTCTTCATCTCTGTATAGAAAGTTATTTCCTATCATTATTTACAACTTCAACTCCTACCCTTTATATAAAATCCAACTAGAATACCACTTCCCCTATGAAGTCTTTCCTGCATCCCCCACCAGAAATAATCTCCCTTTTCTGAATTCTGTTGACAATGTTTAACTTCCAATGTGTCATATACTAAAATACATACATGTCTTATCTCCCCACTAAACAGTAATCTCCTTAAAAGCAGAACTCACATCCTATCCATTTCCACTTTCTCAACAATACCTACTGTTCTACCTTACTAACTGTCTATAGATGTTGAGTGAATACACAAATAAAATGGCAATAAATGTAGTCTCATCACAAAGCACTTAACTCAAATTCACCCAACATACTTGACAAAAAGTGGAGAGACAGATCATAAGAGACGTGGCAGGGAGGTCCCACCCATCATTCACACAGAGTAGATCCCTAGAAGTGAACAGAACATGAGATACATGGTTGTTCTATTTTTTCAGTCTGTCTCCATTTCTGCAAATCTCAGCAGGGATGACCTTAATGTTAAAAAGCATCAGTTTATAACATGGTCCCTAAATGTAAACCAAATACTTATTCACGTGCTTAACTAATGAAATAGTTGCCTGATTCAATGCTGGAAGAAAAAGGTATGCTATTGGATTGAAAGATGTATTGACTTTGAATATAAGACCTCTCTCAGGAATTCTCAAGAGTAATTTTTACCTCATATTATTTCACCTTAATCACTAAACTTAGAACTTAACATTGACATAATACGTGACTCTTTTTTGAATTTCTGAAAAATAGAACCTTGTGTTACCCATCTTTTATCCTCTGTGCCTGGAAGAACGTCTAGTATGTCATAGGTATTTAATCAGTGAGTGTGATATTGAGCTGAACGGAAGAGAACTACAGCCTACGCATTCACTCTAGTGCAGGTTCTGGTTGGTAGTTATGGCTCTTCCCACCAAGAATTCTGAGAACCTTTACCCCAAGTGAAACAAGTATTGATTAATTTTCAATGGAGTTAACAGGTTTCCACTACCGTTTTTCAGTATCAAACAGCTAGGTAGTATAGTTCAAATTCTCCTTCAGTTAATCTTTATTCTTTTTCTCCTGCCACTTCCTTCACACATTTCATTTCCCTAAGGGGGCCACTTCCAACTAACATCTATTCTTCTAAAAATTTGAACTGAACAGAGCCATCTGCAATCAATTTAGAGACCAAATTGGTGAGATAGTATAGGTTTGAATCTTTGTAATTAATATTATTGACACCATTCTGAGTTGTGTAACATTTAGATATTTTAAAAATTGCAAAAATCACTAATCTCCAGCCAACCATCAAAATACAAAAGTCTGGCTGTGGTAACAAATTACCACAAATGCAGTGGCTTTAAGCAGCAGATATTTATTCTCTCACAGCTCTGGAGACCAGAAGTCCAAAATCAATACCACTGGGCCAAAATTAAAATAACAGCAAATCTGTGCTCCTTCCGGAGGCGCTAGGGGAGAATCCAGTCCTTGCCTCTCCCAGCTTATGGTGGCTGCTGGCAGGCTTGGTTTATGGCTACATCACCTCAGTCTTCAAGGCTAGCATCTTCGCCTCTCTCCCTGCCTTGTCTTCACATCACCTTCTCATCTGTGTCTCTCTCTATGGCTCTGTAATCTCTCTCTCTGGCTCTGTTTTATAAGGACACATTCAACAGCATTTAGGACCCACCTGGTTAATCCAAGATAATCCCCCACCCCAAGATCCTTAAGTTAATCACAGCTGCAAAGACACTTTTTTCATGTAAGGCCACAGTTCTAGGCTCCAAGGGCTAGAATCTGATATCTTTGCCGGACATTATCCAGCCTACCACATCTTCTCTGCAGAAGTTTAAGTAAATTAAGAGTATTCTGGAGAGTCCAAGCTAACAATGTGTCCGTTAAATAGATCAAACTTGTGTTTTCTCCTGATCTTCAACAGATGGGAGAGGATTGAGGAGACTCATGTCCTTCAATATTCAGATACATCGCATCTCCCATAAGCAGTCTGGGCTCATGAGCCCATCTTGAGGCCACACAGCCTTTTGTCACATCCCTAACCAAACAAACTGATTTTATTTATGAGTAATATAAACTGTATTGAAGACAGAGGAGGTGAAGGGGAAGACGAGGGGTGGAAAAAGAGAATTTACAACATGCAGCAAGTTTTATTTAAAATAGCTCCCCATGAGACAATGCTTTCCTCCTCCTTCAGTTCTGCTGTAGTTACTCAACACTTCATCACCCTTCCCTCCTTTATTCCGAAATTCTCTCTTTTGTCATAAGCAACTCAGTTCTGGCACCAAGTCTGCAAATTTTAGTCAGCAAAAGCAAATCCCTGTAGTTACCCAAACCTCCTGTCTTCTCAACATTAATTTGACAAAAAGCTGCCAGTCCTTCAGCATGCTTTTGATGTCTTACACTCTTGTCAGAGTAGTTTATCAGCATATTCACTCAACCAACACAACTCTTCCTAGAAAGAAATCTCCTGCTAAGTAAACAAAAATTATAATAATAAAATCACAACAGCTATGAATCATTGTTTGTGCCTCTCTTCAAAGTCTTCAATATCTTGACTACTAGAGAGGTTAGGAAAAAGAAAGAAGTCCACCACTTCATCAAAAGACTCCAAACAAATGACAACATTTCACGAAAACTAATTCTTAGTTTTGTTCCTCTTAAAAAACTAACATTTTTTTTGTTATCACAGTCCCCAGCAAAAATCTGTGCAGTAAACACATTTATTTTTCTATCTAAGCTTTATGAAAATCAATAAAATTTAAACGAAAACCTTATAAAACATTTTTTCTGGACATTTTCTTTCATAAGCTAATGAATTTCCAAGTGTTTTTAAAAGTTCTCCAAATATTCCTGGCAGCTTTTTGGAAATAACAGAATCTTGGAATTATTCCCTGGATTCAGTTCTATATCTGGTTTATAAGTATCTGGAAAGATTAATATATTAAATCAACAGTTTAGCAGCTAGAAATCCATAAATGAAAGGTTTTGCCCTTCCCAATTGTACATGAGTCATTTCCCTCAGCTCTCTGATACATACACATGTTTTATAAGAATTAAATTAAATTAGCTGAAATACCAATATGTCTACCAGACACCAGAGAGGATTCAAAAATGAGAGCACCCTTGCCACCAAGTGGCATTCAGGATAGGAGAGTACAGATAATTAGATGTTTTGCCCAATGTTGACAAAAGCACAAACACATAAAATCATGAGTAACAAAGGATTACACTGGGAAACTGTTTTATCACCTGTTTCAAGACCAAATACTTTCCACATACGTTTGAAGACTCATGATTAGGTAGTTTAAGTATCCAGCCTAGCATCTTTTGGCCAGATTCCCCAAAACATCTATCTCAGAAATAACAACAGCAGTAGGTCATTTGTCGGTTTATAAGCCCATAGGTGAATTGTAAATAGTCCCCTGTTCCCACAATAAGACAATAAAAGAAAGAGCAGGAGGGAGAGGAAGAAAAAGAACAGGAAGGGGAGAAAGATCCAGAGGAGGAAAGGCTGGTAGGTATAAAAGGATAATCAACTCATAGAGAAAGAGAGCAGCTACAGAAGTTGTGTATATATTATACACTTCTAAGCCTAAATTCTGCACTATAAATAACCAGGTTCAGCTTGAATTCCTCCCTAGTCTACTCAGGAGAACAGATCAAGAGCCATCAACAAGTGGGGAGAAAGGCACCACCCTGCCACCAAGCTAGAGGTACACTGGAAATGAAGGCAAAGGCAGGCCCATGCTCCCCATAAGTTCATAATGTGCTGGAAAACAAAGCAGCTTCTGCATTTTCTGAAATAGACTAATCAATTGCTCTTGGTTTGGCCTCTTCAGAGAACTTAAGCTTTTCTGCGTCTCAGTTTCTCCCCTCTAAAATTGGGAAACTAAACTCACCAAGTCATAGTAAGAATTCCTCGTTGTTCCGTTTTATTGAATTTTTCTGGCAAATGGTGTGTAAGGTTACAAATAAAAGAAATCAAGACAATTATAAAATTGCAAGCAAAGGTACAGACTCCTTTACAAAATTGCATGAGTGGCTGAGTTTTCCTTAAGCTTTATCCTAAGTGTGCTGAGTCCATTCCAACAAGGGAGACCTTTCCAAACTGTAATCCTATGTCCTGGAGTCTCCAGTCTCCACATATGGTACAAATCTGGAGAGAATGAGGTCAGCATCCTCGGCACAAGCAGGAAGACTGTGAATATTTTTGACAACCTCAGAAATGAAATGCCTTTGGCTTTTCACTCAAGCATTCCAGAAGCTGCGTCTCTAAACAAGGACATGGCACTCTTCATGGCTGACAGCTTTCAGGAGGAGAATACTGTGAAAAGACTTTCTATTCTTACAGAGAAAAATCTGATGGCTCATGACAGAGGCTGCATCGAGGAGCAGAAGTGGTGCTTACAAGGCCCTCCTATTTGCTTGCCTGCAGTGAAGGGCATTGGCGAAGACAAAAGGTATTTTCCCTTCTGTAATACAGAGAAGCCCATCTGTTATCCTGCCACAGCGCAGTGCCGGGGAAATCCTTCATGAACAAGAACCCTCCTGCCAGAGTTCCCTGGAAACACTCCTCAGATGATCCCGCCCCCACACAGGAGCAACACACTTCTCCCCAGCCTGCCTTTTTGTATTTTTTTCTTTTTATTGCTCCATAGAGCTAAGCAGAGAACAGCGCCTGTGATTTAAAATGAGCAGGAGGGTCTACCTTCAAAGCTGTCAGAATTGTTATTATTATTACTATTTCAGCCCTAGTACATCACTGACTGCCTCAATTCAGATACACACACAACTAAGCATGGTGTCTCAGAGACAAGCTAATGGGAACTAGAAGCTGGCCAAAGCTTTCTGTTTCTATGCTTAAGCATGGATCCGCTAAAGATCACTTGAGAACATGATCTGAATAGAAACAGGGCTTCTAGGGCTGATGGGATGGGCTGCTGCCATAGCCATCTGTCCTGTCAATGGCCAGGTTTCACTGAACCAGAGCCAAAGTGACAGCTCTGGGCGCCCCAGGCAGGAAGGACTTTCCTCTCCCTCAAGCCTCAGAAAGGAGGAGGAAAGAGAGCCAGGCCCAACTGATGATGCAATGGCAAGCCCTTAAAAGGGAGAAATGGTAACTTTGTTTTCTGCTTAGGGCCACCCGAGGCACATTTGGCCTGTGCAGGCATAGGTACGGGCTCTTAGTCTCTCTCTGTAATGCTTCTACACTTATGCCTACAAAACACCCATAAGCTCCTTTACTCCTATGTTTTGGGGATACAGAAACCTCACCACTCCTTTCACTTGTAAAGCTCTACTCTCTTTGTGCTTTTCCTTCAGAGTCAATTCACATTTTCCTTGACCTGATTTGTGCTTTTTGGAATATTGGAGAGCTTTCTGAAATGAATTAGATAAGCACAGATTTGTCTCCAAAGATCAATCTGCTACAATGAGCTTCTGCCTCCTTAGCTGAGGCTAATATCTGACACTTCCCTGTAAAAGTGACAGTGCACTTAGTAATCTGTGGAATGCCTGCACACATGAATTGAAAAGATGCTGGCAGGTCCTTCCCTGACCTTCGTAAGTCATCAGCTTGTTCCGTGATTCATGGTATTGAATGGTGCTTTCTTCTTCCTTTACCTTGCTGTAAATGCTATTAATGATCCAGAGAAGTGAAAGCCCTAAATCTTTTTTCAACAGGAAAACAAGAATGGGACAGTAGCACCACCATTCTCAAGCCTGCAGAACTGCAGGAAAAGAGAAAGTGAAAGACAGCCTGGGTAGAAGGAAAAATGGCCTTTTTACTAACACTTAAAGAAAATGTTATCCTACGTTCATCTGAACTGGAGAAGGAAGTCACGTCACTCACTTTATAATTATCATACAAAACAGGAAGTAGAGTTTTATTCATTTCCTATGGAATCTAATCAATGCAAGCAACCCATCTGGATATTCCAGTAATAAAACCATATGAAAGATTTTCAACATTTTGGCTTCCAGCATTCTGGTTATCTACAAAGATCAGAATAGTTGTATAATGGACAAATCTTCACTTTATTTGATTCTGTGTAGATATAGTCTTTTATACTCCTGAAGGAAAATGCTCTGATAAAAGGATAGAATTCCTTCCTGCATTTATTCTTATTCAAAAACTATAATTTCAGTTCCACCACTGCAACTACAATATATTTTCATATGAGTAGCCAAGACAATCTCCAGCCCTTAGTAGTCTCTGGCATATGACACATAACCTTTTCAAAACTGAAAGAAAGTCCTTGAGTTGAGAAGTCTAAAGAACAGTGTTTCTGTCATGGTGTAGACCAGATTGAGAAAATTCCACCCAAGTGGCAGATCCTTGGAGGTATTTCTCCAAGTCTGTGGAGAAGCATAATTAATGACTGGCTCCTTAGAACACAAAAACAACCACAAAAGACCAAGTGATATGTCGGGGAGAAATGTCCCTTCTGAAATACATAATGAGTAGGAAGAAATGCCAGTGAAACATTTCCAATTCATTAAAATACAAATTTCCTAGTGCAAAGAAATACCTAATACAATAAAATTCAGAGGCTATTTTATATTCTCCCACATTGCTTGCTCTGAAGTGAAAAGAAATAATATTTTCCAAATTTTGACAAGCCTTTTAAATCTTCATTGAATTATCTGTATGCTCCAGGTGAGGAAATAATAAAATCATAGATATGACCCGGAAAAGGGATTTGTGGATCACTTAGCCCAACCTGCTCATTTTTAAAATGAGAAAGAGAGACCCAAAGAAGTGAGGAGACTTAACACAAACCATCAGAGTAGTTAATATCAGGTCCAAGACTGAAACCAGGCCTCCTGACCTAGCGTGCAGCTCTACCAACAGCTCCCTCAGTTCCATTCCAGGCTTCCTCTGAAAACCATCTTACCTCCATCTGCTGGCGCCTGCTCTGCCTCACACGTCAGGCTGGAGAATCAGCAGTGAGCAGAGGGATATCCTCCCCTTGGTCTACATAAGCTGTGTTTATCCTGCAAGGCCTATCTCAAGCCTTCCCTGCCTAGTACAGCCACAGCAGTCGCGCTCTCTCCTGAAGTACAGGTAATGATAGATCTCTTTCCTATTGAGCTCATATTCTGTACTGTCACGTCACTTCCCTGATATTGTCATCACCTAAATACCTACATAATTGTTACCAAAGACTTAACCTTTCTACTTTAACTCCTGTTTTCTTCCTGTCTTCCCTTCTAGACTATAAGCTCTTCTTGTTAAATAAAGAGAGTACTGTTATTTAATGCTTGTTAAGCTATTTCCCTTTTCATGGGTATACGCCTTATCTCTCCTAACCCCCAGTCAGATTTCTAGTTCCATGACTTCAGAGACTGTTTTCTGTCTCACAATTATTAGGGTACATGAGGGGGAGATGGAGTGAAAAGTCAGGGGGGACTGTCAGATGCATATTTTAATACCCTCAAATTTTTTGCAATAGTCCTGAGTTTTTCACCGGCTCTGTACGAATGCTACCAAATTCTACTCACATGTGCGGTGATAGAGAAGTGCCCTTCTCTCAGCCTGGATGCCATGGTGCATAGGTGGATTTTGCACACCAGGTGGCTCTGGAAAGGAACCATGGGCAGCTTCAGAAATGGATGAGTCAGCTCAGGCTACTGGATATCCTGCAGTAGCAGGGCTTCCCCTAGGATGAGCTGGCAACTCCATTCCTTAATCCTGGGAGAGGAGACAGCAGCCACTGGAGAAGGAAAGTAGAAGGGAAGGCTTGGGTGTAGGTCATATTCATCCATTTTCAAGCTGCCGATAAAGACATACCCAAGACTGGGCAACTTATAAAGAAAAGAGGTTTAATGGATTCACAATTCCACTTGGCTGGGGAGGCCTCACAATCATGGCAGAAGGTGAAAGGCACATCTTACATGGTGGCAAACAAGAGAGAATATGAGAGTCAAGTGAAAAGGGAAACCCCTCTAAAACAACCAGATCTCGTGAGACTTTTTCACTACCACAAGAACAATATGGGATTATCTACAATGATGATTTGTATGATTCAATTATCTCACACCAGGTCCCTCTCACAACATGGGAATTCTGGGAGCTACAATTCAAGATGAGATTTGGGTGGGCACACAGCCAAACCATATCAAGGTCATTCCTCACTCTCTCATCCCAGCTCTAGTGATTCTTCAGCAAATACAAGGAGACAATCTCCTGTAAGAGGAAAGTTCAATGAGGCTGTTCCTTGATATTTCAAGAGGAGTTTGTCTTCAAATACCACATGATCTTATTTATATGTAGAATCTGAAAAAGTCAAACTCATAGCCATAGAGAGTAGAAGGGTGGTTACCAGAGGCTGGTGCTTGAAGAGAAGGGAATGGGAAGATGTATTCAAAGGATACAAAGTTTCGATTAGGAGGAATAAGTTTGATTTTTTTTTAATGAACAGTACTTTCTTCCATCAAATAGAATAAGTGTTCCCAAGAGGTAAAAGTTTTTGAGATCCATTTCACAGCATTGTGACTATAGCTATGAATAACATACTGTGTATTTTTAAATTGCTAAGAGAGTAAATTTCAAATGTCTTACCATAAAAAATAAGTGAGGTGATGACTATGTTAATTAGCTTAACTTAATCATTTTGCATTGTATACATGTATCAAAACATCCCATTTTATACCACAAATATACATATAATTATTATTTATCTATTAAAAATAATAAAAATAATTGATCTTCAAAACTACTCATAATGTTATTGTCTTACAGACTATTTTGGTTCAAAAGGGTGAGAAAAAGGATAATACCTATATCTGCCATCACATATTTGAGCTTTCCATGTTACACACTTTACTAAATACTTTAGATATTTTGCCTCATTTAGTAAATCCACCAGCTTTATGAGTTGGGCATCATTTTCTCTACTGTACACCAGGGAAGCTAAGGCACAAAGACATTAGGTAACTTGTCTGAGACTACACAGCTCGAAAATGGTAAAGTAAGAATTTCAACTCTGTCTTTCTAACTCCAAAATAACAAGTTTTAGCACTATACTATATCCCTTGCAATTCCCCTTAAAATAAATGTCTGAGAGTAAAATTTTAAGAACAAAGGCTTAAGAGCAAACAATAAAACAGTATTTTTAAAAGCTAACATTAAGAAAGGCAAACAGGAAGGTAAAATACTTTTAGTTGTGAAATGCGAAAATTCCTGCATACACAATATGGGAAAGTATTCAAAAAAAGTATAAGTCATTCCCTTAACTTCTTTATAAACAGTACTTTAATACTGTAAGGCAGAGCCTTTTAATACTAGAAATAATCAAAATTATTTATTTATTTATTTATTCATTATTTTAGAGATGGGGGGGTCTCACTATGTTGTCCAGGCTGACCTCAAACCTGGGCTCGAGCAATCCCCTTGCCTTGGCCTCCAGAGTAGCTAGGACTACAAGTGCGCACCACTGCACCTGCCTTCAAAATTACTTTTAAAATTAAAATGTAATTGCATTGTATTTAGGTAGTGTCTCATATTTGGAACTCAAAATCAGTACCAAATAACTAATTATCATGATACATAATCAAATCAATAAGTATTTATTGAGTATACACTATAAACAGATAAATTAAGACACATATAACCTTAAAGGATTTAAGAGCACATTGGGGAGATAAGCCATAAACACAGAGATATTGGAATAAAATGCTTAAGTTACTATTCAAACAACAGCAAAACCTTCACCTAAGACAAAGTTTTGCTGCTAATAAATTGTACAGAAAATAATCACTGATGAAATTCAGAATAAGAATAAATTATTTGGGCTAGACTTTACCTTGAAGTTGAAAACTGATCTGGATTTTGAAAAATGGGACGGCAGAGAGACATAGGGAAGGCATCTTAAAATGTTGATGTATTTGACCAAAGGCTTAAGGGTTGGAAAACACCAGGCATATTTTGGGAACAAACTGTTTTGGGGAGACTCACCTAGAAAGCTAGGTTGCGGCTAAATCTTGGCTGGCCAACAATCCAGAAAGAATACATTATAGGATTGTTGTAGGCATTGAATGAATTAATACTATAAAGTGCTCCAAACAGAATCTAGCTCTAGGGTTGAATAAATATGAGTTGTTTTTATAGAATACAGGTTAATTGGCTTAGACAATCCTGAGGGCAAAGCCAAGCTCTGCCACCAAGTAATCTTGAACACATTACTCAACTTACCTTAATTGCTCTATCTGTAAAATGGGATGAGTCCACTCCCTAGTTCATAGGTGTATTAGTATCTATTACACATAGTTGTAATAGATAGATATCTATTGCTATATATCAAATTATCCAAAATGCCAAAATTTACAATCTATTCTTGAAAGTAGTCATCTCACATATTAGTAATGAGGTTTTTGGAAGCAAGTAATAGAAAATCAATAAAAATTGGTTTAACAGAAAGGAGACTGATTTACTTACACAACTGGAAGACAAATGGTAAAATGCAGTTGAGTATTAATACAGTATTGCCAACTTCACTTTTTTACAAATCTACTTCTGTGAGGTATACTTTTCATTCAATAAATGCACCCACTCTAAAGGTTAAAAAACAGTGTCATCCCAACACTTCTGATGTATTCTATTCATCACATACAAGTCAGTGAGTCAAAACCACAC
Organism: Homo sapiens; assembly: GCF_000001405.40. NCBI lineage: Eukaryota > Metazoa > Chordata > Mammalia > Primates > Hominidae > Homo > Homo sapiens. Next base: position 113,801,430 of record NC_000005.10, on the reverse strand, counting down.
TCAAGGGGATGGAATTATACAAGGGCATAAATACCAGGAAAGTGGGATTACTGGGAGGCATCTCACAGTTGGCCTACTACAACAGGGTTGTTGTATTGGATAAATGAGATTATCCCCATAGATAACTATAGGTGGTTATCCATGCATATAGTAAGTATTCTATAAATTTTAGCCTTTTATTAAATCATTTGTATGTTATTCCATAAACGCTAAAATGCTTGTGAGAATTTTAGAGCTAGAGAGGGTTTTAAATTGTGGCTTCGGGAAGATTAATCTTATATGAAGAACAGAATAGATTATAATGGGAGAACTTGGAGGCAGAGACACCCGGCATAAGGCCATCAGTCTTTGAATAAAAGTCTTAGCAGATATATACAAGGCATAGGAAAGGCAGTATTGCATAGTAGGTAACAGCATGGATTCTAGAGTCAGACCATTTGGCTTCAAACCCTAGTTCTGTCTTTGCTAAATTCCTTCATCTCTAAAACGAGGAGAGTTGTAGCACTTATCTCGAAGTGTTGTCATGGCAATTAAATAATACACTGTTGGAAGGAGTGAACCCTTATACCAGTGCCTGGCACATAGTAACTCTCAATCAAGCTAGGTACTATTCATAGACAGGAAATAATACAGCAATGTTTCCGAGGAAGAATATTTTAGATACAGAATGAAATATTTGTTGACTAAAGTGTCAACAAATTTATCAATTTAAAAATGGTTATGTCTAGTGAGATATTTGGGTGAAAAAGAAGGAGGAATCAAGGACGGCTTTAACATGGTGCCACCGACAAATAAAATTGTTATAACAGAATAGAGCAGAAGGTGCAAATATAGGGAGGAAGATGAAATGTTTAGCTTTAGACATGTTGAGATAAGTTGACTTAGCCTTGTGCTCCCAAAGCATGCTAAGCTCCTTCTTACAAAGTCCTGAATTGACTGCCTCACTTGCTAGGTGCAAAGCTCTGTGAGAGGAGGGACCATGTCTCCTTTGTTTCTAGCTGTAAATATTCCCATAGACACACAAACAGCATAGCTCCTGGCCCATAGTAGATGCTCAATTAATATTTGTTGAAGGAATGAATAAATGAATGAGGGGGAAAAGGGTTTTCTTAAGAGTAGAAAGTCTAAGAGTTCATAAGAAAATATTTGGCTAGCCTTTTATTTTGCATTTTGACAATAGTTTCTCAGTTTCTATATGTCTATTACTTTTCAATTAGTAAATACATAAAGTTGGAGTAGATTTGGGGATTTTTCCCAGTCATCTTAGGACATGAAGAAAAGAACCAAAAATTGACCAAAATTCTAATCCGCTCTTTATTGGCATGGAAGGAGTCTAGATGCTGGGGGTCAGGAATGCACAGTTGCGTTTTACTAGGGAAATACTAGAGTCACAGCACTGAGATATATCTTACTGTTATCTAGCTTCAAGCTAGATGTCATCCTAGCTTCAAGCACAAAAATATCTAAAGCAGTCAATACAAAACCTTGCTTCTGAGGAAGAGAAACTTTATAATACAAAGAAGGTCAGCAAAGATAACCCTCTTGTTACAATTTTGCATCTCACAAAGTTGGGAGAGACCCTCAAAAATCAACAGCTATTCATTTATTCATCAAATAGTTGGAATTCTGGGTACTTTTTTCCCATGGATATGAAAGTTGGGTGCCTTCTTTTAATAGTTGAGAACTTGGGCTGGGTGTGGTGGTTCACGCCTGTAATCCTAGCACTTTGGGAGGCCGAGATGGGCGGATCATGAGGCCAGGAGATCGAGACCATCTTGGCTAACACGGTGAAACCCTGTCTCTACTAAAAATACAAAAAATTAGCTGGGCATGGTGGTGGGCACCTGTAGTCCCAGCTACTCAGGAGGCTGAGGCAAGAGAATGGCGTGAACCCGGGAGGCGGAGGTTGCAGTGAGCCAAGATCGTGCCACTGCACTCCAGCCTGGGCAACAAAGCAAGACTCCCTCTCAAAAAAAAAAAAAAAAAAAAAAGTTGAGAACTTCAGTTGTGAAGCAAGATGTCTGCATTTAAAGAAACCTCTATGTTCTTTCCCTCTTTAAGCATTCATAAGCTATTTTAATAGTATTTTCAGTACAATTCTTGCTAAAGTTAGTCTGAATCAGTGTCTCTTGCCTCTACTTCAGTATCCTTAATGATTCTTCACTGGAGTTCTGCTCAGTGGAAAGCCCTGTGAGCACTCTAGGTCTAACAAATTGAATTTCCCTCAAAATATTTCCTTAAGAAACATTACTCTTCTCTAGCTACCTGGAAGTCACTACTACTTCCACTGAACTCACTCTGAGAATGAGCTACAACTCTTCACTGGAAATGATCAATAAGCAGCTAAAAGTGTGGTGGCCTGGCACTAAAGCTAGTGTTGATTAGGCTGTCTCATTCACCAAATCCAGTTGTTAAGAGATTCCTGTTCAGAAACCTTTTTAATTTTCAGGTCAATGTAAATCAGCTCAACCTACATCCCTTCCTAAGAAGTGGACATCATCTAAAAAATGTTCCTTTCGCAGCAACACATCCATCTTAACTAGTGTTTTACTCTCTAGGCTCTCCTCTGCCAATGCAGGACCTCTGCTTCCTGCAAAGTCTCCCACATTTATTTCTGGGAGACACAACGGAGTCTTCTCAGAAAGCTCATGATTAGGTCCTGTTAGCACCGCATCGATACTGTTTCTGCTTTTATTCACTGCCACAGTGGCCCTCAGGCAGTGCCACATCAATTATGCAAAATCACTGGTGCCTACAAGGCACTTCCAATCACTTCTCACTAGGTACACTGAGGTGCAGAGCCACATGGTGACCTGTGGCCATGTTCTTCTCAGCGTTGACCAACCTCTCTACTCTTACCAAAGAAGCAGATATATGTCCAAATGGCAGGAGAGGAAACAGAGCTGACGGACAGCCTCTAGGCAGTCCTCAAATTCTTCCTTCCCTTAGATGAGTTCTCTCCCAGACATCTCCTCAGCCCTTCATGCAAATGCTCTCCTGGCAGCTGCCTCACCTGGCTTCCAGACAGGCTCAGACCCAAAACACAGCGGGCATTATTTTGTCTAAAGAGAAAGAGAGTATTCCAATTTTTCATCACAATCAACGGGAGGATAAATAGAATTTCAATCCAACCACTTCTCTAGCCACAAAGAAAAATTTGATACCCACACTTTAAAATTTTCAACCCCATATGCCAGTATAAAAATGTCAGCTTTTGTCAATGTACAAAGAAAAAACAAAATGACCGAGTGAAAAGAAAGGCTCATAAGAAAAGAATTAAATCGAGGCAGCCAACTGGGTATGTTTAACAGATGGAAACCAGTTTTAAGAAACTCTCTTGAATATATAATTGAATTTAATGTTGAGTGATAAGAAATATGATAACTACTTGTATCTGAAAAATGTAAGTAAATGTCAAATGATATTAATTAAATGAAAGAAAAAATGGCATTAAAAGAAAGAAAGAATATATTATTTGTTCAATGTGCCATACATAGAGAGCAATGAGTATCTGGGATAAGAAGGTATTTCAGAGCACTTGATAAATTGTAAATGCCATTCAAACAAATGGTATTATTATGCAAATGTAAATTTATGCTACAACGCTTTGAAAATTAATAATTTCTTTCTACAGTCAGATTTAATAAAGTAAAAAGGATGTTCCTAAAAGATAGGGATACTTAAGAATAACATATAAATAATACAGGGCTTGTGTTCTATTATTTATGTCTAATTTCTCCTTCTTTTAGCCCTTACATTACAAAAAGAAGGAAGCTCAGGTTTACTTTTCCATCCTGCTTAACCCTAGCATACCCTCACCCAGTATCACTTCTTTCTTTTGTTTTCTAAGCCCTTTCCCTCCAAACATGATTTAAAGAAAAATAAAAAGGTAAAACAGGCTCTAATCCTATTTTTAAAAAAACCTGCCAAAGTCAGTTATGATATTCATTCTCCCTGCTTTTACAAATTTGTTTCCTTTTCTTTTTGCCATTTTTTAATGTTACTCTAACTTTTAAACTAATACAACAATAGACTTCGAAGCTCCAGTCAGCTGAGGCTCTGAGAACATCCTCAGAGTCCTCTCAAGTTACCCACAATTCTCTCTGAGACACCCTAGATTCTTCTGACAGTCACAAATCCCAATAATCATTATAATCTTCCAAAAATACGACACTCTTGATAGAAATCATGTTAAAGGGCAGGAGCAGAATAGTTTTAAAAGTAATTGGTTTTCCTATTAAAACCATGAGTCTATGCTAAAAAGTCACAATGTTGAAAATGATATTGACAAAACAGAGCTGGGCTCTAGATAAAATTCATATTTTTAGCTCTGACAAATGTTAATTGAAATCAGCATTAGAAACACCTGTGAATCCATGCGCTGGGAGTTTGAAAGCCATCTCCTTACAACAGGAATATAAATGTACAGCCCTCTGAAATGTTGCAACAATTTTGGAAGTCATTTTCTTACTAGATAATATAAACTGTAATAGAATCATACCATTGAAAAAAAGGTTAGTGATTTAAAAATTAATCCCTAATTTTCTCTTATACTTGTATTTATGCAAAATAATATTAACTTTTATTTCATTTAATTTTTAATAGATAATGTATTCACATGATTCAGCAGTATAAAAATTTTCAGTGAAGAAAAATAAAAAGGTAAGACAAACTGTCTTTTCTCCACTCTCCCACCACCATCTGTCCAGTTTCCTTACACAATATACCCACCTCAAACAAGTACCTACTTTAAATTATATCAAAAGCTATTTCCCCAAATATCACCAACAAAATCTGTTGAAAAGATGAAGCTAAGTTAATTGCTTACTGCAGCAGGAGAGAACACATTGCAAAGCTTTGTAGTGTCTCAGAGGGCATAAGGTGAAGTAAAAACTTATTCAGTATTGGAAGTGTGGTTTAAGGTAAGTCTTTCAATGTAGAGACTTGACTAGACCAAGTAAGAATCACAATACAACAGCCCAGGATGGGTGGAATCACCAAAGTGAGGATTTTGAGACCAAGGATTCAATAATCTTAGGGGAAAAACATGAGTAGGTTAGTCTTTTGGAAGTACCTATAATGAATAATTTGGGAAGGAAATTCCCATCAGGGTAACAAAATGGTAATGGAGATAGTGGAAAAGCAAAGTTATTTTAGTTTAAACCGTAATGTGTGGTTTCTGTTCTTAGTGTCTTGGCTGAGAATAGAGGTGGATGGTTTGGGTTCTCAATTAGCTTTTCTCCTTCCAAAGGTTTTCTGTGCATTAATAAGAACAAATACAAATATATAAGTATATAATTGTTCTTCTTTGATTCCTTCGTATCCTTCTTTTAAACAAGACTGCACATTATACAAACTCTTATAAACCTTGCTTTTCTCATTTAACAGTATATCCTGGACATCTTTTCATATCAGTATTGAAGAGCTCCCTCTTCCTTTCATACAGCCATATAATATTCAATAGTATACATATACCAAAATCTATTTAACCAATGTTCTATTGGGCTGCTCCCAATCTTTTAGTAATACAAGGTAATAAGGCATATTCTTTTCTGTGGAGGGATACCTTGTATTATTGTGCGTCACTTTATTGCGCTTTGCAGATATTGATTTTTTGCAAATTGAAGATTGGTGGCAACCCTGAGTCAAGCCAGTCTATTGGCACCAATTTTCCAACAGCATGTGCTCACTTCATGTCTCTGTGTCACATTTTGGTAATTCTCACAATATTTCAAACTTTCTCATTATCAATATATTTGTTATGGTGATCTGTGATAAGTGATCTTTGATGTTACTCTTGTAATAATATTTACCTGAGACTTTCCAAATATGACTTGGATAGTGCTGACCTCCAAGAATCCAGCTGGAAGATCCCTGAAACTTCTTTATAAATAATTAGCTTAGGAAAACCAAGTACATTTCCTAATGTGTGCTTCCTAGCCCAATTACAGTATCTGAGTAGAGCCTACCAGAAGAAAAAAAGATATGAAATGTGTACATGGAAGAAAGTAATAAAAATGAAAAAATAAAGAAGAGAAGGAGCAATAGCAAAGAAGTCACCTTGTGCTATGAAGAATATTGGATGTATTACTGTGTGTCTTTAAAAATAGCAACCTCATTAACAAATACAGTAGTAATTTGCATTTTGAGACATTTCCAAACCTACTTGGTTTAAACAGTCTTCATTTTTTGCCATCCAAGTTGGTTTTGCCATTATCCTTTAGACTATGGCTCACAAAAATGAAAACCGTTAGGTACATTTTGGAAGCTATAAAACTCCATATGTACAGATCATTAACAGGTTTACTTGTTTTCCTTCATCTGCCTTTCAGTCCACCCTCCTAAACCTTGGCTTTAAATCAGCTCATCAGGAATCAGCTCCCTTGATGACAGATAGTTTGGCTAAAGGACAAAAAAAAAAAGCCATAAAACACCCAGTCTCCTGCTATATTCAAACCTCTTTTCTTATCTTGTTCTGCTCAAGTTCAAAACTAAGGGTATAAGGCATACATTTCTCCCCAGTCAAAAATAATTTCAGAAGTAAATGCTGAATTGTTTATATGAAATAGGCATTTAATAAATATCGGTTGATACGGTCTATCTTGAAAGCTATGAAAAATAATCATTCTTCTTATTAGCAACTGACACATTTGTTTAGAAAAAATGGGGCACTGTAAGTTAGCAACCACCTATATTAGAATCATAGGAAGTAGGAAAAAGGAAGCCAAGAGAATTGACATTCATGGACTGTTGACGTTTATACTTTGCCAGATGAAAAAGATTCTTTAACCAAAAATTCAGCTGACATGGTACCCGTAGGAGTCAAGGCCCCAAATCCATTTGAGCCCCCTTTTCATCCCCACTTCAGGCCTTTTGAACTCTGGGAAAGATTGAGATCCAGGGAGGCGTGGAAATTGGAGAGTCTCTATGGCTTGAGGTGGGTGAGCTATCCCACTGCATAGGGTGGCATAGTGGCAGCAGCCTGGATGTCTATAGATCAAAGAGAGAGACTGCCTAGTGCAAACAAAACAGTAAGCCACAACCTGAAGCACCTGATTTTTGCAAGTGAAACACAAATACCTATAAAATTAACAAAATATTTTTTAATCTGTAACAGAGTGATTAGAAAATAATTGAAATGGAAATGCCCCATCTCTTTCTTACTCACTGTACCATGCATAAAGCCAAGCACTAATTTGGGGGCTATGACTTAAATGAGAATGCTCTAGCTAATTTAATTTTTTGCAGTTTTAGATTCCCGAAATACCTGGCTTTAATATTATGCATGTTCTAGTTTGGATAATTAATTCAGCTAGCTGTGATTCCTCACTTCAATAAACAGAGGATGAAGAAAAATGCAAAATTTTACACTTATACAAAAGGTGTTTATTTCTCAAGGTGTCAGCCAGACAAAGAACAACAAGTAAGTTACCTGCGCTTTTTGCATGTAAGCATAAAGACAGGAGTTTGAAGTGGTGAGACTTTTTTATGTGCAGTGTTTAGAATTTTTTCTATTAATTTATGGTCACATAAACTTCCACACCTTTCACAACAAGAATGTGAAAATCACCTTGTACAGTATGGTTTCTTTAAATATCCAAGTAATGCGGGCAACTCCTCATGACACAAACACTGGTTTTTAGGTGTGTAGATTCCTACGGCCACTGTTCTTACTCTTCACTTTCCTTTCAGTCACTTCACTGCTTTGAAAAACTTCAACAAAAAGTGGATTTCAGAAAAAATGGTTTGATTCAATTCATACCAAAAAGTTAATGAAAAATAAAAGCTATTTCTATATTCACACCTATGTATACAAATATAAGAGAATCATCTATGAGAATATACTTCAAACCTTACCAGGAGACCCCTCTATTAAAAGAATAATAGGAAGAGGGGGATGCTTTTCAGCCAATTGTTTGAATTTTTAAGGGTGAGAATGTTTATGTAGCACTTGTAAGAAATTATCTAAAATAAAACTTATTTGATTAAATTCCAATTACAAAATAATGTTTCAATCTACACTACAAAATCCAGATGCCACATTGCACACCCCTAAGGCTGTAATCTCCCAGAAAAAAAAAAAATGTTTTAATTTTCTTTTTGTATGCAGAGATATCATTTGTGTCAAAGGGAAGACTCCAAAAAAAGAGTCTTTTTAAATAAATTTTTGGAAAAGTTCAGCTGCTATAAACACTGGCTGTTTTTGTCACTTGTATATTCCTGCGGCGAAAGTGGAATACTATCCTTCTTAAGTGCTTTCTATTTGTCTCCTCTTTTTACACAATAGAGATTCTCTGTACAATCAATTCCAATCAAGTTTGTTCCCGTGCCCTTTTGGATTCTTTCAAAGAATGTTCTTTTTCAAAGCCAATAGCTTTGTGCTATTAACCTTTGAGCATCCCTTTGCCAGAGCCGCACATCAGATTGAATTCTGATTACTCAGCCCTCAACCTCCAGTTCTCTCTTATTGCTCTGCCTGGCTTTTTCCCAAGCTTTTCAAGGAGCCAGTCTGCAGTCAAACATTGGCAAGCTTACACAAACTGTTCCCCAAAAAACAAGGCTTTAAAAGCACTCCCCTGAATTTGATCAGAAAATCCACTTCTTTCCCTCCTCCGAGAATGAATTAAATTGAAAAATTCTGCAGGTCATCATCTAATTCTATTGAGCTAGGAATCATTGAGTCTAACCATGTTCAAGACACTATTATAGGTAGTGTGACATTCACAATGACAAAGTTCCTGTCCTCAAGCAGTTTACAATCTAGCAAAACCAAATAAGCCTCCTCTAATCTCCTGGTTTAGTCTCTACCGGAGTGTACTTACTCTAGTATCTTCGGAGTTTTTCATCATTTCTTTATTGTGATAAAACATACATAACATAAAATTTAATTCATGACATTTGTGACATTCAGAACATTCATTAAGTACAATCATTACCACTATCCATTTCTAGAACTTTTATGTCATCCCAAACAGAAATTAGGTACCCCTAAATAATAACTTCTCATTCTCCCCTCCCTTCAGTTCTTGTTAAATTCTATTCTACTTTCTGTCTCTATGAATTTGCCTATGTTAGCTGCCTCATCTAAGTGGAATCATATACAATGTTTGTCCTTTTGTGTCTGGCTTTTTTCATTTAGTATGGTGTTTTCAAGCTTTCTCCATGTTGTAGCATTATCAGAATTTCATTCCTTCTTAAGGTCAAATAATATTCCATTGTGTGCTTATAGTACATTTTGTTCATCCATTTATTTGTTCATGGACACCGGTTATTTCCACCTTTTGACAGGAGATTTTTTTTTTTTTTTGAGACAGAGTCTCGCTTTGTCGTCCAGGCTGGAGTGCAGTGGTGCGATCTCGGCTCACTGCAAGCTCCGCCTCCCAGGTTCAAGCCATTCTCCTACCTCAGCCTCGTGAGTAGCTGGGACTACAGGCGCCCGCCACCACGCCCGGCAATTTTTTGTATTTTTAGTAGAGACAGGGTTTCATCGTGTTAGCCAGGATGGTCTTGATCTCCTGACCTCGTGATCCGCCCGCCTCGGCCTCCCAAAGATAGGAGATTTTTTTTTTTTTAGTTAAGTAACTTTGTTTCTTTTTCAGATTTCTACAAATTCTGTATTTGGTTTGGCTTGAAAGACCCAGATCAGTCTTTTTCAATTGTCGTCAGAGATATATCAGTCTCTCCAATGTAATTACAATGCTCTATACCGTGAAAAGCAAGTCATAGAGGAGTAAAGCATGTGCAGGGTAGGCTTCCATTTTAAAAGGCAGGACTTCTACTGGTGCTCACACTTCCACCTTCCAAGCACACACAAGCACAGGCACCCATCTCATGCTGATGTCCAGTGAAAGGCATGTCGGGCGTTGTTTCATAATTGAAGAAGAAAAGCTTTTCCACAGAGATATTACACCAGATGAAGCCGCAGAGGAGGATGAAAAGGCTGGTATGCTGTCTATTTCTCTGAGCATCCTGGGCTGGACCCTCTATTAGTAGGAGACTGAAGATTATAGCATAGAATATTGTTTAGATTATAGCATAGAATATTGTTTAGAGATTTTCAGGACAAGGGAGTTGTTTCAAGGCTCAAATCACGCAGTGTGCTTCTCAGGGCTGGGAAGGCCTCCTTGCCTCTGAAAAATCCACCATTAAGGATTTTGAGACTCTGGAGACAATCACCAAGGAAAGACCAAGCTGTCTTCCAGGTGGGCAATGGCACGGCAGCCTTCTCCTAGCAGCTTTGCAGGCCAGAGGGCTTCAGCAAGAGCAGAAGGGTAGGGCAGATGTGGCATGGTGCCCACCAGTCACATGCCACTGTGGAGACAGAGCAGGAACCCCCACTTAGGGGCTTGCCAGACCCCATTCCACCCACAGGCACAGAAATAAAGGAAAATCTTGAGTTCCTTCAAGAGAAATTCCAGGCACCCAGCTAGTCCTGAGAAGTAAATGAGCAACTTCATAAGGACGAAGGTAACCATAGCTTAATACAATAGACAGGAAAGTTAGAGTCAGGGGATGTTTTGTTTCTTTTTTTTTTTTTTTTTTTTTTTTTTTGAGACAGAGTCTCCTGCTGGAGCTGGAATGCAGTGGCGCAATCTCAGCTCACTGCAACCTCTGCCCCCCAGGTTCAAGCGATTCTTCTGCCTCAGCCTCCTGAGTAGCTAGGACTACAGGCCCGTGCCACCACGCCTGGCTAATTTTTTGTATTTTTAGTAGAGATGGGGTTTCACCATGTTAGCCAGGGTGGTCTCGATCTCCTGACCTCATGATCTGCCTGCCTCAGCCTCCCAAAGTGCTCATAAGCGTGAGCCACCATGCCCGGCCTGATGATAACATCTTAACATATGTCTCTCAGTTTTTCAGAAATGAAATCCCCATCAGTGGATCCACTGTCACGGAGACCTCAAATAAGGAGAAACTGAGGACTGAACTCTGCTGTTCTTTGTTCTAAATTTCTTCCTGAGTGGCTTGGAGAGAAGGTCACGCCCCTGACCCAGACCTAACATTCTTTTCTGCTGATCCCAATTTTTAGACAAAGCTTTGCCTCCTTAACCAATTACAAATCGGAAAATCTTTGAATCCACCTATGAGCTCTGGGCCCCTGCTTGGAGATATGTCACCTTTTTAGGTTAAACCAATGTATAGCCTTCATGTATTGATTTATGACTTGCCTATAATCTCTGCGTCCCCACCTTTAAAACCCTTACCTATAAGCCATTGGGGAGTTCCAGGCTTAAGTGTTACCAGCCCCATTCTCTTTGCTTGGTGCCCTGTAATAAATGCCTCTCTTTCTGTCACTGCAATCCTGATGTCAGTGTCTGGTTTTGCTACACTAGGCACTTAGACTGAAGTTCAGTTTGGTAACAAATAATTGGCACCATAGAAAGGACAAAAGTCCTAAGTGCGCATCTCACCCATGACACATGGGCTCCTGGCTGCAGCCACCCTCTGATCCCATCTAGCAGGTGCCTAAATTATTTCATTAAGGGACAGGTCCGTGAGTCTGGCTGCCAACCAGCCATTGCTGGCCCATAGCACTTTCATTTTTGCAGCATTAGAAACAAGGCACCAGGCTGGAAAAATGTCTTTTGGTAAGTGGAGAGTGCATGGGCAACAGCCTCCACGTACTCTTCCTTCAGACCTGGGGTTCTGCTTTAGTAGGACATCTGGCCTTGCTTCAGCAAAGCAGTAGGAACTGGCCTTGCTTTGGCAAGTCAGAGTGCATTTGGTAGGGGATACCCTGTAAAAAGCTGAAGGGAGCGACCCCTTGAGAAATTGCATTTTGATTTTTATTTGCTTGCTTGAAACTCAGCTTAAAGCCCAGAGGAGGCATTAAGGGTTTGTCACCTAAGGTTTTGTCATCTAAAATGGGAAATATGAGCTCTATTCCTCCTTGTAGCCCATTAAGGGGTATTCTGCAGAATTGAGCCATTTTTATCTTTGAGCCTATGAAAAAGATGATTTTTTATTACTGCACTGCTTGGCTGCAATATTCTTTAGCCTCTGGAAGAAAATGGCCTGAAAAAGGGATCCTTTAAATTGGACTCCTAAATTTAAAAGAAGAATTTTAGAGATCTCTTATTCTAAACAATTCATGGGAATATCAAGTTTTTGAAGATACATAATAGTGTCACGGCTAGCCATAAGAATTCTCTTTACTAAATTAAAGAGCAAAAATCCCACCTAAATAAAGTTAAAATCCTTTGCAAGCTCAAAACTGCCTGCTATAGACCCCCGCACCCCCACCTCTGGGAAGAATAATGGAGACCATCCCATGCTGTAGTTCAGTAGCTAAAGTTCCACCCTTTCACTGAGGCAGCCTGGCCAGGGAACAAGTCCTTTGGGTGTGGTATTTGTGTGATTTTTGCCATTTTTGGTCCTTTTTTCTTGCATGCAGAGCTTTTAATTTTCTGTCCTCGGTCTGTGGGGACATAGGGGACTTTGGTGCCTTTGTGTACAGGCGGTTAGCTAAGAAGCTGAGACCCTAAACAATATGGCTGAATGGAGATGTAAATTGTACTCCACTTGTGGCTAGCAAAACTTTCCTTTCTTTGAGCAGTGTGTGAAGTGATTCTGAATCTTTTGAGAACTGCTTTGCACCTCTTCGGACACCTTGTGCCTCCTTGGTTAAGGCATAACCCTGGTTAAGGCTTACTAGTTTCACTGGAGAAGACAACTTCGGGGGAAAATGTTCAAAAGTCAGGAATATCAGCTGTTTGTCCCAGCTAATATCTGGTAATAAGAGATTTGAAAGGATTTTTTTAAGAGCTCTGTAGTCAAAAATCACTTTAATTAAAACTGACATTTAGGCAATATATGTGTATGGATATTATTTTAAGGCCTCTGTTTTCTCTCTGCAGAAATTTCTCTGTCAACTTGATGTATGTCTTCTTAACGCCCTGCTAGCCATATGCACTCCCTCTGTTTCCCTATTTACTTCTACCCGCCCCTCCTTCCTCTTACCACACTTGATGTCACATCGTGGGAACCAAAAAACATTTTTTTTAACAGCCTGAGATTCCTTAAAGAAAACAGAAAAGGCATCACAGACTCTTCTTTGGGAGAAGAACGTCTGTTTTTCCTCAGAGAATCTCAAGAGTTGTAAATGGACAGCATCCTCTCAGATCTAAATCTCTGTTCTCTTTTGTATTGCATTACCTGATCTCTTTGGCTTTGGGGGGCACTAGAAATTATATTATGAGAAAATTTGTCCTATAAAATCCTGTGGTAATTTCCTGTGATTTTGTGTTGCTTTGGTATCCTTTTATAGATAAAGAGAGACAGGGTCGTGCTCTGTCACCCAGCCTGGAGTGCAGTGGTGCAATCATAGCTCACTGCAGCCCCAAACTCCTGGGCTCAAGTGATCCACCTTCCTCAGCCTCCCAAGTAGCTGAGACTACAGGCGCACACCATTATGCCTGGCTAATGGTTTGATTTGTTTTCAATTTGTTGTAGAGACAGAGTCTTGCTTTGTTGCCCAGACTGGTCTTGAACGCCTGGCCTCAAGCAACCCTCCACTTCCCAAAGTGCTGGGATTACAGGTGTGAGCCACCATGCACCCAGCTTTGGTATCCATTTGCAGTCTTCCTCTAGTGCAGCCCAAACTCCTTCTTAAAGGATAATAGATTCATATTCTCTCTCTCTCTCTCTCTCTCTCCTCTCTCTCTCTCTCTCTCTCTCTCTCTGTCTCTGTCTCTCTCTCTCTCTCTCTTTGCTTTGAGGTATAGATTGTTACCTTGTTTCCACTGGGGCTCAGTGAGGGCTTGAGCCATGTGGGACAAATGGATTTTGACTTGTTCCATTTATTGAGGCATAATTTGAATACAGTCCTATTTGAACGAGTGAGTCTTTCCAGGCTCATGACTAGAGTTTTAGAATCTACACAAAAAAGAATAAAATCATGTCTTTTGCAGCAACATGAACGGAACTGGAGGCCATTTTCCTAAGTGAAATTACTCAGAAAGTAAAAAGCCACATATTCTCATTTATAAGTGGAAGCTAAACAATGAGTACACACAGACATACAGAGTGGTATACAAGATACGGGAGACTCCAAAAGCTGAGAGGGTGGGAGGGCAGTGAGAGAGGAAATACTACATATTGGATACAATGGACACTATTCAGGTGATGGTACACTAAAAGCACAGATTTCACCACTACACAACATATCCACATAACACAGTTCCACTTGTATCCCTAAATCTATAAAAATAAAAATGAAATACATAAACCCTAAAAAATTATTAATAATAAAAATAAAATAAAATCAAGGCTGTAGGTTCTTTGTTTATGTCTGTTTGGATGTTCATGTATGCATGTGTGTATGTCTTTGTATGTTGTCTATGATATCAAATTGGTTTATAAATAAAGGAGTACTCATAAATTAAATAAGTCCAAATATTTTTTTGGTTCATGTGATTTTAATAATCTTTAGTAAATAAAGATATTTTCAAAATTGTTGGTTAAACAAAACCATCTTCAGAATTTAATTTAGACATTTTTGCCTAGATCTATTGGTCAGATACTGCCTTTGCTAGATGTTTTCAGGTCATAAAACTACTGCTTTTGTAGTACTTTGGATACTTGCTTAACTTGTCTACACACTTATGTCTTCAGATTTGAGCCTTAGGTTACAACGCCTAGCTCCAGGCATGGCCCTATGTCCTGGGTTCTATATCTGATACATAATTAAAATTGCTTACCTCCAAGATTTTCCACTAAAAATAAGATTTAGTAAGAGTTAATACTATAATTAGTATATGTAATTAAGACTACTAATATACGAAAAGCAATTCTATATGCAAAGTATATAAAGAAAACAGGATGAGTTTTTAATTTTAAAATGTTATTCAAAAGTTTCAGAATCTTGTTTTGTTAAAGGAAAAGTAAAATGTAAAGAGAGTTCAAGAGAGAGAGTAGGTCGGGCGTGGTGGCTCACGCCTGTAATCCCAGCACTTTGGGAGGCCGAGGCAGGCAGATCATGAGGTCGGGAGATCGACACCATCCGGGCTAACACGGTGAAACCCCGTCTCCACTAAAAAAAATACAAAAAAATTAGCCAGGCGTGGTGGCAGGCGCCTGTAGTCCCAGCTACTCGGGAGGCTGAGGCAGGAGAATGGCGTGAACCCGGGAGACGGAGGTTGCAGTGAGCCGAGATCACGCCACTGCACTCCAGCCTGCGGGACAGAGTGAGACTCTGTCTCAAAAAAAAAAAAAAAAAAAAAGAGAGAGAGAGAGAGAGTAGTTTCTGTGAAAGGAATTCTGTGTATAATCGAGTCAGCTAAAATGAAAAGTTACTTAGTTTTTCTAAAAATTAAACAATATCCAAGACACACTGATGCAGGGCCATAGTCTGGGCCCCGGTGTCAGGATAATAGCGTTTTCTTGAAGCACTGATCTGATTTTTTATTTATTTATTTATTTATTTATTTCAATTTTAGAGACATAGTCTGCTGAAGTGCAGTGGCATGATCACAGCTCACTGCAGCCTCAAACTCCTGCCTCAGCCTCCCAAGTAGCTAGGACTAGCTAGGACTATAGGCCCATGCCACCACACCAGGCTAATTTTCTTATTTCTATTTTTGTAAAGATACAGTCTCACTATGTTGCCCAGGCTGATCTTGAAGTCCTGATCTCAAGTCATGCTCCCACCCTGGCCTCCCAAAATTCTGGGATTACAAGTGTGAGCCATCATGTCCAGCAAAATCTACTCTTTAATAAAAAAATTATGAGAGATTATAAAAGGTTTATGAAAACCTTATCCTGTATAGTCAAAATTGATTGAGATTGAATGAATTTATTGTTTTATTAAAATTAGCTTTAGCATCAATAATACACTAATGCAAAGGTAGAACTTTTTCTTTTTCAAATGAGACTTTCATGTAATATTAATAAGAGATAATAGGCTGGGTATAGAGGCTTATGTCTGTAATCCCAGCACTTTGGGAAGCTGAGGTAGGAGAGCTGCTTGAGCCCAGGAGTTTGAGACCAGCCTGGGCAACATAGTGAGACCCTGTTGATATAAGAAATTTTTTTAAAAAATTAGCCAGGTGTGGTGGCACACACCCATAGTCCCAGCTACTCAAGGGGCTGAGATGGGAAGACCACATAAACCTGGGATATCAAGGCTGCAGTGAGCCATCATTGTGCCACTGCACTCCAGCCTGGGCAACAAAGTGAGACCCTGTCCCAAATAAATACATTTTAAAAAATAAGAGACAATAAAAGATGTCTTAACATTTTGCGTAAACTCCAAAAAATAAAAGACAGGAAAGAAAATGAGATTCAGTTGGCCCCATGCTGTTTTATTAGGTCTTAGTGATTGTTTTGGGAAACTGAGTATCCCCTCTATCAAACAGTAAAGGATTTTGCTTTTCAAAATCTCTGAATAACCACTTTGGCTAAATGAACGACTATTATTTTACAGTGACCTGTGATCTTATTTGGGGTTATCAAGTGATTTAAACCTTTGATATCTGACAAACTTTCCAAAATCAAATTTCAAATTCTAAACTTAGTCTTTCTCACCTCAAAGGAATATTTCGGATATTAGAGCCCCTAGAGGTCCAAGAGAGACATATTAGGCTTATTTGGTATGTTCAAATCACAGAGTAAGCATTGCCAAATATAAAATTGTATTTAACTTTCTTTGAGTTACATTTATATATATGTGTGTTATTAATAGGCATTCCAAAATTGCATGAGATTTCTGTAATTCTCATATCTCAGTATATGTTATCAGTAATACTTATGATTATGTTAAATTATTGTGTGCCACAGAAATAACCACATTTCCTTGTCAATTGGGTTTTTAACATGGCTGTCCTAAGACTTTTGTCATCTATAGACAATTATTGTTTTACTTTGATTCTTCTCGAAAAGCATTTTCTTCTTCAAATAAGTTCATGGAAAGGACTCATGCAAGTGCTCTTGAATACAGATTTCTGATAACTTTGGAGATTGTACCGTTAGACTGGTTAAAAAGCTTCCAGGGCTTTAATTAAAAAGCTGATGCATTCATGAGGCTTGCTAACCCAATATCAAGCAGAACAAGTTAAGTACATGGGACTAAACTAAAAGAGGACTAAAATAATTTTTCGCTTTCTTGTTTGAAATGTTGCTGATTCTTTTGTTTTTCAGAGTCAAGGAAACTTTTTTCTTTTGAGCTATTTATAGCTTTTAACAACTGAGTAAAGTATACTCTTGTGAGCAAAATTTGAAGCATTTTTATTTCTCTAAAATTTGGAAATTGTGTATTTTTTTATTTTATAGCAATATAGTTATTTGCCTAAGTTCAGTAAGAATCTGTTTTATAACAGGACACAATTAGAGACACTGGTTATTTTACCAAGGCTTTGACTGGAATGGCATATTTTCTGATATGACCAGACTGCATTGAGGAATTGAGGTTGAATTTATAGAGTCAATAAATAGCCCCTGGGAAAAACTGGCCTGGTACTTTGTGTACACAGTTTTCTTACAATGTTGCTGAACCTTTGGTAAGTAAGGTCATTTTCTGACAGGCCCAGGAAACTCAAGATATTTTGGAACCTTGAAAAGAGAGGAATCACCCAATTCATACAGGTATCTGCAGACACTGATAAAACTTTGGCTTGGCTCAAGAGGCTTTTAAATGTCTAATCTGAGTTTTTCTATGAAAAACATTCTAGTAAAGCCTATTTTTAAAAGTCTATATGGCCAATAACTGTCTTGCTGCACTTTATGCAAATAATTAGGCCTAATATAATAAAGCTAAAACTTATTTTGCAAATAAATTGGTCCTAGTCTGATTTTTTTAAAGAGAAGGGGGACTGGAAAGAGAAAAATTACATTTCAGAAGAAAATGATAGTATACCTGTTATTAGATTCTAGGATTGTCCATTGTTTGAGTTTTTACTTGAACTGAATCCTGAATTCTTTTCTGAATAAAAGTCTCAAAACTAATGTTTCTTCCCACTTTTCTGACTTGAACTCAATGAAATTGCTACCATCTTTCCTGAAGCCCCTCAAGCTGAAGTTTCTACCTTGGGATACAGGCAAAGAAAACTTGTCGGGTTGCCACTGCCTTCTGCCACTTTAACTAAAGATGCTTTGACTCTAACATCTAGACACCTCAACTTAGTGCTTCCAGATTCTAAAGAGACTGATTTCAGATCAACTTTATTCTTCTTGGATGGGACCATATGAGGTGCTGCTGATGACTCATTCCTCAGTAAAATTAAAGAGTCAAACTGATTCCTGGGTAAAGCTGGTTTCCAAGAGTCATTTGACCCCAACTCTCGAAATGCAACAGAAAATGGGAAGCACATCATAACAACATCACAGTCCTGACCATCCAAGCCTGAGGTGGAGGCCCCCCAAGGCTGACTTCTCTAATTGGACCAGCAAATCCCTGATAGATCCCAAGTTGCCACTCAGAAGACAGACTCCTAAATATAAGTAATAAGAGATACCAAAGTACTTAACAATATTATTTGTCATTGCATTTCTTATTTTTTGCATCTACTACTGTCTAAGCAGATTCTGTGTGCTGCTGTGGGGGTCTTAATTTCTTCAGGTGCTCACATTGAACTATTGACATGATTGCCTTTTTTGTTATGCTTCCTTGTGGACTGT
The DNA here is from genome assembly GCF_000001405.40 of Homo sapiens. NCBI lineage: Eukaryota > Metazoa > Chordata > Mammalia > Primates > Hominidae > Homo > Homo sapiens. The sequence continues at coordinate 113,782,818 of NC_000005.10, read as the reverse complement.
GATCCCCCCAAATCAAAAGGAGAACTCTATGTTTAGGATTTCTCATTCATTGGCAAAGAGAGGTAACCTGTAGATGTCATCTGACTCAGTTAATAGAACAACAGTGCACCAGTTCATTAAACTGTCATATCCTGAATGCCCCCCCAAAAGTAGTATACAAGAGAATTCCATTATTTTAGAAGTCCCCTCTGTTGGATCTCAAGGAAATTTGCTGAAAAATATTGAGGCTCTACCTCATTATAATGCCTTCCTCAATTTTTCCTCTTCAGATAAGCAAGACCCCTACACCCTCAATATGCCTCCTTAGAGGCCTGTTCCCTAAACATGTTAGAAATCACATATCTTAGCTCCCAACAAATTAAGCAATTTATTGAAACTAAACAGTCCACATACTCACTTTGGGGATCCACAAATCTATACTTGCCCAAATACCAAAAAGATGGAGCTGGGTACTTTCTCGGGTGAACTTTGTTACCTTGGTGAGGAATGGCATCCAATGTGTACATGATTAGAAATCTCTCCCCAACTTTATGAATTCTTGTGATGAAGCTGCATTGGCAATAGACACTCAGAAGAGAGGAATTAGTTCATTAGCTCAGATTGTCTTACATAATTGATCTTATATAATAGCCTTAGATTACATTTTAGCTGTTCAGAAAAAAAATGTGTGTGGTTGTAAATATCACATGCTATACTTACATAAATGAATCTGTGGAGGTAAAAAATCATCTAAAAACTCATCTAAAAAGAATTAAAGAACAAGCCATTTGGTTACAGCAGGTCTCCTTGACTGTCCCCAAGAACTGGTTTTCTTCCTCGTTTTCTTAGATTCCTTATGGAATGCAGTCCATGTTTTCTGGATTGCTAATTAGGCATCTTGCTAATTTTACTTATGCTTTATATTATAGCCAAATGTGTATTAAAATGTTATGGTACAGCATTAACTAAAGCAACAATACAATCATAGTTCAGCACCATGGTGCCATGCCTGAGACACATGAATATCTCAAGCTCCATGCTAGAAACTTTCTCTCCTCATATCCTAGTCTCCAATCATTGCCCCAGTTCAGCAGCAAGTAGCCACAGCAGCCTGCATCCCCATACCCATCAGGATTGATGGGTTGACAAGAGACAGGGGGAACTGAGATAGAGTAGAGACCCCTCTTAGAAGCCTACCAGGTACCCCCAGTCTAAGCATGGAAATAAAGGAAAATCTTGAGTTCCTTCAAGAGAAATTCCAGGCACTTAGCTAGCCCTGAAAAGTAAGTAAGCACCCTCATAAGCACGAAGGAAATCGTATCCTAAAACAATAGCCAAAAAGTTAGAGTCAGGGGATGTTTGGTTCCCTAGAGAAACTAAAGATAACATCTCAACATATGTCCCTGAGTTATTTTTCAGAAATCTGGACCCCTATTACATGGTTCTACTTGTGTGTAGTCCTCAGATAAGGAGGAACTGAGCTCTGATTTGCTGTTCTTTGTTCTAAATTTCTTCCTGAGTGACCTGGAGGAGGTCACACCCATGAGCCAGAGCTCACATTCTTTTCTGCTGATCCCAGATGTTTACACAAATTTTTGCCTTCTTAACCAATTGCAAATCAGAAAATCTTTAAATCCACCTATGACCTGTGGGCCCCTGGCTTTTTAGGTCAAACCAATGTATAGCCCCCATGTATTGATTTATGGCTTTGTCTATAACCTCTGCCTCCTCACCTTTAAAACCCTTACCTGTAAGCTGTCAGGGAGTCTGGGTCTTAAGCCTTAGCTGCCCAATTCTTCTTGCTTGGTGCCCTGCAATAAGTGTCTCACTTTCCGTCACTGCGATCCTGATGTCAGTGTCTAGGTTTGCTGCGCTGGGCAGGTAGACTGAAATTCAGTTTGATAACACTGTGGGAACACACCTCAGGCACCCTGTGGGGAGACAAGGCTCTGCTGCTATGTCATGGGGACTATTTTCTGGTACCACAATATCTTTGGTACAAATAGAACTGCCTGTTCGCCTAGTTCAATCATTATTCTGGCATTTAACCATCAAATTCTGGCCTATGTGAATCTGGGAGAATGTTTACAGAGACCTCCTGAGAAAACTGTGGGTCCTAGAGCCAGCAATGTAAAGACCATTATTTTTCAGAGCCTAATACCAATTCTGCTCATAAAAGATATGGAAAAAATCCAAAGGTGTTTTTTCCTACTCTCACTCACACATCACTCAACACTTCTGACACCAAATGTTGGGGGATACTTCCACACATACCAAGTACTTCTCTAGTGGATACCAGCTAGGTGGCCAATAATTCAATTCTGACACTATCTCCCTGGAGATAGTTTCAGATCCCACAGGTTAAAGGCTCAGTCTGATGAGTGCCCCTCACTTCAGATGCCAATCACAAGGCCCAGGTTGTGACCTGTGTTTCTGACTGACCAGCTATAAATTGGGGTTCCCATGAGCCCCTCCTCAAGCTCCATTAATTTGCCAGAGCAGCTCAGAGAACTCAGAAAAACACTTTACTTATGTTTACCCATTCATCATAAAGGATATTACAAAGGATACAGATGAACAGCAACATGGAAAGATACACAGGAAAAGGTATGTGAGCAGGGGCACAGAGCTGCCATTCCCTTTCCAGGCATGCCACCCTCCAGGAACCCTCTGTGTGTTCAGATATCAGTTAGTTGCCTGGACCCTGCCTTTTAGGTTTTCCTGGAGGCTTCCTTATATAAACATGAGTGATTCTATCATTGGCCATTGATGATCAGCTCAACCTTTAACTCTTTGCCCCCTCCACTCCTCAGAGGTTGGCGGTGGGACTGAAAGTCACCAACCCTCTCATCATGCCTTGGTCTTGCAGTGACCAACCTCATCCTGAAGCTATGTAAGAGCTCCCTACCACCAGTTACCTCATTAGCATACAAAAGACACCCTTATCTTTCTGGAGATTCCAAGGGTTTTAGAAGCTATTCATCAAGAAATGGAAGAAGATCAAATATATATTTCACAATATTGCAGCCCCAAATGATGATGCAGTGACCAGCTGTTAATGTTATTTGCCCTCTAAAAATTACTGGACATGCTAGAAATGGTATCAGTATCAATATCATTTTTACAGTGTGACAAATAATAATTTATAAATTTAAAAAATAGTAGTTTGGGGCTCTTTAAAGAAATTTTAGGTGAGGGGGAGAAATGTGTTAACTGGGGGGCTAGATGGTCTAATTTCTAAAGTGGGCAGTGTGTGTGTGTGTGTGTGTGTGTGTGTGTGTGTGTGTGTGTGTGTGAGACTTAAAGTGGCCTTTGGACCGTCTATTAGCTAAAAGAGGAGAAAAGTCATGAGTTTGCCCAAATCTTTATTCAGAGGCCAGAGAAAAAATTTCCCCATTGAATAAATTTTCAAGAAACAGGGAGGGACTAAATAAAATTGTGTGTTGATTACTTCCAAGTGGTGTTTCTTCCAATTACTGGTTATCTCTGGGGAACAGTGATTCTTTCAAGGACAATACTAGAGAGAAGCTCTCCAAAGTCAGAAAAGGAAGCAGGAAAGACATCCATGGCCTTAAAAAGATCAGGGCTTTTGGAGTACTGCTTATGGGGGTTGCGTATTTTCATTATTACCTTCTGCTTCATAACAATGTTTTAAAAGCCAATAAGTGATAAGTGGGCATGATTTCTTTGGTGGCTCACAATGAGTGGCATCATGAGGCTGTCACTTATATATGCCAAGCACTGGCACTGATGGCACACCACAGGACAGCAGAAGGCAGCAGTTCTCAAACTAGTCCCTAAACCAGCAGCCTCAGTAACACCTGGAATGTGTGAAAAATGTGAATTATGGGGCCCTATTCCAGACCAATTGAACCAGAAACTTGTGGGCTGGACCCAGTAATGTGTGTTTTAAGAGACTCTCCTGATGATTCTGAAACATGCTGAAGTTTAAGAACCACTGTCACAGAGTTAAGCTTCCAGGCCTTGGTGTTAAACAGCTCCCTCTTTAATCTTTGCTCTGCCATTATGACTATGTAACTTTGGACAAATTTCTGAATTTTAACCTTTTTTGCTAATCTGGAAAATGAAGATAATAATTTTCCATTCTTCATTGGACTTGTTTCAATAGTAAATGAGATTGAAAATAATTGCAAAGCCTTTTAGTACAGCCTCTAGAAAATTGACTTATCGAGTCCCCACCTAAAGGCTAGAGTGAGGATTATTATTCCTACATAGAGTTGCCAGATACAATGAATAAAAATACAACATGCCCAGTTAAATTTGAATTTCAGAGAAAAAGTTATTATATACTGTTGCATTCTTCCATGGGCTTTTCCAGTAGTGCACGGGACATACTTCATACTGAAAAATTATTCATTGTTTTAGTGAAATTCAAATTTAACTGTATGTCCTATATTTTGTCTGGTGACCCTATTCCTAGGTTTCAGATGAAAAATCCAGCTTAAACAGGTTGAGTAATTGTCCAAAGTCATAGGGTTAGTGACGTAATTGGGATTAGAGCCCTGGTGTGGCCCATTTCAGCAGCAGATTCTTTCTATTTTTGTATGATCCCTCATCCCTGGCACATGGAACCAATGGATTCTCTGGAAGGACTAATTTCCTTTCGTTTTTAAGACTGTTATTGGAGTTGTGAACACGTATGTAGGCAGAAAGGACTGTGTGGTGTTGTATTTCCTATTTCTGAATGCATTTTCTAATATCCAAAATTGTCTCAAAATTATCTTACCTTCATTAAGTAAACATGGGGGAAAATCTATAGATTACTATATAGAGTTTATATCAGCGTTAAGCACCTGTGGTATTTGTTAATTAAACAGTATTCTCTTTTGCTTTTTTTTTTATTTCCTGAGATAGGGTCTCACTCTGTCCCCCAGGCTGGAGTGCAGTGGTGTGATTATACCTCACTATAACCTCGATCTTCCAAGTTCAAGCTATCTTCCCACCACAGGCATGCAGCACCATGTCCAACTAATTTTTTTGATTTTTTAGTAGAGACGAGGTCTCACTATGCTGCCCAGGCCAGTCTCAAACGCCTGCGCTCAAGCAATCCTCCCTCCTTGGCCTCCCAAAGTGCTGGGATTACAGATATGAGCCACTGCACCCAGCCCTCTGTCTCTTTCTTTTGAGGTCATCCTTATGAGGCAGGAGGATAGGATCTAGAGGCAGGGAACCCAAGGCTGTTTCACACTGACTTCCTAGAACTAAATTGAAAGGAAACCCTAACTTTCCACGCCTAAGTAACAAAAGGAACAGAGGTTACTCCCTTTGCAAACTCCTCCCCTTTTCTGCACTGCAGATGGGAAATTGACTGTTGGCAACAAATCAGACTGATTGCAGGTTGAGTATTCGTTTGCAACTTTGTAACTTCACTCCAGCCTCTGAATGGTTGCTGTCCACAACCAATCAGACTGATTGCAGGCTGAGTCTTCATTTGCATAGAAGTATAATGTTGTAACTTCACCCTAGCCTCTGATTGGTTGCTTTTTGCAACCAATCAGATGTTTGCACAAGAGTGTGACATTTGTAACTTCACTTCAGCCTCCAGTTGGCTGCTTTCTGCAAACAATCAGACTGATTGCGGGCTACAACTTCATTTACATGAGGTGAGCATGAAGTGGCCAATGGGAAACTTCTAGGGGGTATTTGGACCCAAGAAGATTCTGTAACTGGACCCTTGAGCCACCTCTCCGGCCAGCTCCCACACTGTGGAGTGTACTTTCGTTTTCAATAAATCCCTGCTTTGGTTCTTTTGTTGCTTCATTCTTTCTTTGCTTTGCTGGGCGTTTTGCCCAGTTCTTTGTTCAAAATGCCAAGAACCTGGACAACTTGCAGTCACAACCCTCTATCAGTGACATACCTTGGCAAGCCAGCCAGGAGGAAAAGTAGGCCCAAAGTTTGGGATTTTTCTCCTTTCCCCTTGTAAATCTTTCTCTCTCTCTCTTCCTTTCCAACTCAGTGCCCTTGGTGGACAGCACCTAAGCATGGAGACTTCATGCAAGTTTCTGCCCAGGGTCACTATCTAGTGAAACTGAAAGGTTTCCACATGGAAGCACCTGACCGCCACCGCCCAGTTCAGGTGAGGGATCTGAGTCCTTTTTCTTATTTTCATTTTTCTGAGTCCTATTTCTTTTTCCCTTTTTCTGAGATTTTTTTTCCTTTTCTCCGTTTTCAGTCTTTCAGCAACAGTTTCCTAGTAGCTCCTGGTAATTGAGGGAAACTGACCAGGACCGCTCTTTGGCATTCTCTGAAGACCAAGAAGCAAACAGGGATAGATGCCCTGCCTGGAAGGGGAAAAGACTCTTTTCTATCCTTTCTGGTTATACTCCCAGAACTCTACGTGTGACACAGTTGGATGTGGCAGCTCATCCAGGGCGAATTCACACACGTTTCAGGTGACTTAAACCCCTTCTTTTCTTATGCTAAATTCTTCCCTTCCCCCACTCTACTAGCTAAGGAAAGAAAACCCACCTCGCTATGCAAAAAGGTTATACAAGTCAGATGGCCTGGGCATGTCGTAGGTGGTCTGTGTGGTGCATGGGGGGTGGGGATTATTATTGCCTAAGTTGAGAGAGTCAAAGAGTTGCTTTAAGTGGGATGGAAAAACCTTAAGAAAAGTTCACAGTAAGTCCTCAGTGGTGGAGAAAACCATTCCAAAGAGGTGCTGGCACCCATCTAAGGTTGGCGACATCCAACAGACTAAGTTGCAGCCCTAAAGGGGGATGCCCCCAGGGACCCTAGTCTGGGCCCAGAATTTTTCCAGGGGAATTCTCTGGGTAAAATTTGGGTCACCTAGTGAGCCCTCCACTGTTCAAAGTCTCTTTACTAGACCACTGTGGGCAATTCTCAATCTATTCCACCTGATTCCACTGTAGACAACCCTTCACCTATTCCACCTGATTCCCTGCTTGGAAATGTCCCAGACCACATTAATAAACAGGTTAACCCGCTGGGCATGGTATACTGGAAAATTGGGGAAGGATAGAACAGCAGTGCCAGTCAAAATACAGCTTAAAAACCCCAGCTATTTTCCCAATAGAAAACAATACCCTATTAGGCAGGAAGCTAGAAAAGGCCTAGCACCCATAGTTGAGGTAATACTTACCCATGGGCTCTTAAAATCCCCTGCAATATCCTCATCTTATCTGTTCTAAATCTGTAATTCTCCCTGCAATATCCCCATCTTATCTGTTCTAAAGCCTTCAGGGGAATACCGGTTAGTTCAGGGCCTCGGAGTAATAAATGAGGCTGTCATCCCTATCCACCTATTAGTGGCAGATCCATATACCCTCCTGGCTCAAGTACCACAGGATGCAAAATGGTTCTCAGTTCAAGGCCTGAAAGATGCTTTTTTCTCCATTTCTCTGGCCCCAGAGTCCCAATACATTTTTGCCTTTGAACAGGAAAATCCTAATACCAGGAAAAAAACAACAATACACTTGGACAGTGCTCCTTCAAGGTTTTCGGGATAGGCCCTATTTCTTTGCCTAGACCTTAGAGAGGGATCTGAGGGACCTGTAAACGGGGAATGGGAGTATACTTCAGTATGTGGATGACCTTCTTGTGTGTAGCCCAACCCAGTATGTTTCTGACCAAAATACTATAAAAACTTTGAATTTTGTGGTAGACAGGGGATACAAAGTGTCCAAAAACAAGGTGCAGATTATCCTCAAATGGGTCCAATATTTAGGGTATGTCTTAACACCCAGAGCCCGGCAAATATCCCCAGAACAAGTACAAGCCATAGTGGTCTGGGGGCACCCCCACACCCAGCAGTAGCTTCCTTCTTTTCTGGGGAATGGCCAGGTTTTCAAGAATATGGGCACCACATTTTGGGATCATAGCAAAGCCCCTGTGTGAAGCAACAAGGGGGCCTGAAAATGACCTAATGGAATGGACCTCAAAAATGAGAGAAGCCTTTGCTAACTTAAAACAGGCTCTTACCCAGCTTCCACTTATGGCATCCCAGACCTAACTAAGCCCTTCTCCTTGTATATAGCAGAGAAAAGGGGCATAGCCGTGGCAGTGTTAGACCAGAAATTAGGTTCAGAACCCAGAACAACTGCCTACTTTTAAATAAGTTGGATAGAGTGGCCTCGGGGTGGCCAAGTTGCCTGTGGGCAATAGCAGCCACTGCTATGTTAATGGAGGAAGCCACTAAAATCACCCTGGGCCAACCACTGGAAGTTCTAATCCCCCATCAGGTAAAGTCAGTCTTAGAGATAAAGGGACCCATCTGGATACTGGGGAAAAGGTTAACCAAATACCAGACCATGCTCCTAGACAATCCAGACGTAACCCTTAAAACCTGTAACACTCTGAATCCAGCTTCATTGCTGCCCACAGCCCCAGTAACTGATCATTCCTGTGAGCAGGTCATTGCACACACATATGTTAGCCAGCCTGATTTAAAAGACCAGCCTCTTCCAGATTCTGAGGATGACTGGTTCACAGATGGAAATAGTTTTGTGTCAAATGGGGAGCATGAAGCTGGACATGCAGTATTAAATCATAACACAATTATCAAAGCCCAGCCACTGCCCCCTGGCACATCAGCACAAAGGCTGAAATTATTGCTCTCGCTTGAGCATTAATGTTGGGACAAAGAAAAAAGCTTAACATCTATACAGATTCTAAATATGCATTCCTTGTGGTTCAGGCTTATGCTACAATCTGGAAATGGAACTACTAACTAGCAAACACTCCCTTATAAAGCATGGGCTTGAAATTCTTCAGCTATTAGAAGCAATACACCTGCCAAAGCCTGTGGCTATAATTCACTGTAGGGGGCATCAAAGCAACTTAACCCCTATAGCACAAGGGAACAGCAAGGCCAACAGAGAAGACAAAGCTGCAGCCTTCAGAGTGCAATCCCAACAGATCCTAGCAGTGCTCCCTTTCTATGGTTCCCCAATAGAACCTGAGTACAGGAAGAACAGCTAATAAAGGAACCAAGGGGATAAAACCAAGGATCCTGGTGGTATATGGAGTCGAAAATACATCTCCCTCAGACAGTCCAGTGGAAAGTTAGAAAAGCCCTGCATGTCTCTTTCCATGTGGGGAGGGATGCAACTCTGGCCATGTAAATAAGCTCCTTACCAGGTCTAACCTAGCTTCAGTGGCTAAGCAGGTCTGCCAAGCCTGCTCACTATGTGCACTTAACCCAGGAAACAAAATACCTCCTCTAATACAACCAGTGCAGAGGAGAGGAACTTATCTAGGGGAAGACTGGCAATTAGACTTTACACATATGCCAGCTTACAGAGGACATAAGTTTTTGTTAGTGCTAATAGATACCTTTACTGGTTGGGTCAAAGCTTATCCTCCCAGAATGGAGAAGTCTAATGAGGTTATAAAGTTTCTCTTAAAATAAATAATCCCTTGTTCTCACTCATAGGTGGGAATTGAACAATGATAACACATGGACACAGGAAGGGGAACATCACACACCAGGGACTGTGGTGGGGTGGGGGGAGGGGGGTGGGATAGCTTTAGGAGATATACCTAATGCTAAATGACAAGTTAATGGGTGCAGCACACCAACATGGCACATGTATACATATGTAACAAACCTGCACGTAGTGCACATGCATCCTAAAACTTAAAGTATAATAATAATTAAAAAAAAAAAAAAGAAACAATCCCCCGGTTTGGGTTACCTCAGAGTCTCCAAAGTGATAATGGCCCATCCTTTATCTCCCAGATAACTCAACAGGTTGCTAAGGCTCTTGGAATAAAATACTATTTGAATTCAGCATGGAGGCCTCAATCCTCCGAGATAGTAGAAACGGCTAACAAGCTCTAAAATTAGCATTAGCTAAACTATGTCAGGAAACATCAGAAACTTGGGTCAGCTTACTGCCCATAGCCCTCTTAAGGATCCGTAATACCCCTAGAGCAAAAATTAATATAAGCACTTTCAAAATGTTATATGGAAGGCCATTCTTAACTACTGATTTAATTACTGACCCAGGAACAGCAGGTTTAGTAAAATACCTAGTCAACCTAGGACAATTTCAACAGGCTTTACAAAAGTTTGGAATTCAAAGGATCCCCACACTGGGAACTAACCAGCAACCCAAAATCAGGCCAGGAGATAAGTTACTTGTTAAAAGGTGGAAGGAGGGATCACCTGCTCAACAATTACAACCCAAATGGAAGGGACCATTTTCAGTAACACTGGCCATATCTTCCATGGTCAAAGTAGTAGGATTAGATAGTTGGATACATCTGTCAAGGATCAAGCCAGGGATACCAGAAGCCCCAGATCAGGAACCTGAAGTTCCCATCAGCCACTACACCTGTGAACCTGTGGAAGACCTGAAGTACCTGTTTAGAAGACAGCCAAAAGATAAGTAAATGCCTACCAACTTTCTTTGGTGTCTTTGTTGCATAGTTACTGTAGGCTGGATAATAGTAGCCATTTTTTATTTTTGCAGTTTAATTGCCTTCTTCCAAATGGATGGAATCATTTCCTTTATAGTAATTAAGCAGAATTTTTTATTTCTATAACAAACATTCCTGACAGCATAGGCATCCACTCCCAAAATTCCCATTAAATCTTTTAACCGAATTCATTTCCTTTTGCCTAGAGACCATCAAGCTTCAGATAATCAAGCAACAAGGTTTCCAGCCAGCTCCAGGTGAAGGCACCACCCCACCGCCATCAAGAAGCACCCTGTCTCCACTAGACAGAGTGGGCTGAGAGTTCCGGGATCTCCAACAGGTAGGGACTATGCCCCAAGTCAGCATGAAGCAGTTAAAGAAGAAAGACCTTCAGTCCCTCTGTATCCCATAAAGATTTATGGGGATCATGTCTCTCAAGGGAATGATGAGGCAGGATAATATGGTCTGGAGGCAGGGAACCTAAGGTATTTCACGCTGACTTCCTAGAACTGAACTGAAAGGAAAATACTAACTTTCCAGGCTTAAGTAACAAAAGGACCAGAGGCTACTCCCTTTGACCTTTTCTGCACTGCAGATGGGAAACTGGCTGTCTGCAACCAATCAGACTGATTGTGGGCCGAGTCTTCATTTGCATAGAAGTATAACCCTGTAACTTCACCCTAGCCTCTGCTTGGTTGGTTTTTGCAACCAATCAGATGTTTGCACAAGAGTGTGACCTTTGTAACTTCACTTCAGCCTCTGGTTGTCTGCTTTCTGCAACCAATCAGACTGATTGCAGGCTACCACTTCATTTACATGAGGTGAGCATGAAGTGGTCAATGGGAAACTTTTGGGGGTTTCCAAAAGGCCCTTGAGCCACTGCTTGGGCCTGCTCCCACACTGTGGAGTGTACTTTTGTTTTCAATAAATCCCTGCTTTAGTTCTTTCGTTGCTTCATTCTTTCTTTGCTTTGCTGAGCGTTTTGTCCAATTCTTTGTTCAAAATGCCAAGAACCTGGACAACTTGCAGTCCTGACCCTCTACCAGTGACACTTACATGCTTCTAAATAAGCTTTTTACAAATTATTCAAATGAAACAAGCATAGATTTGTTGGTAAATTTTAAAAATTGATAAATAAAAAGGGGCTTTTTGTTCACATGAACAGGATGATTTGCATGAAATGTGATTTATCTTGCTTAGTCAGAGAAATCACATAGTTTTATTTTTATTTTAAAACATACTTGGATCTTTTTCTGTACCTCACAATTTAAAAACAAAACTTGCTAAGTCATCATTGAAAATATTCCCTTCTTTCTGACTTTTAAGAAAAGTTACTCAGGAGGACAAATATTTAAAAATATTTAAAATGCATGATATATGTGAAGATAAATGTGAGAGGAGACGGGAGAAGAGAAGGATAATAAAAATATGTGCCACTTTGGCATTTTTAAATTAATGGGCAATCAATTTGACTACCTATTTAGGAATTTATTCATTATCCAAAATGGCTGAGGCTGCCCAGGCTTTTGTCAAATTGTCAGTAGCAACCACTGCAAATACCTCAGAATTGTTAATAGAATAGGGCTTGCTCGACACTCAGGACAGTGCTAGGGCTAGGGCTCCTGGGGGTTAAAAGACAATTGAACTAGATGAAGCCTGACTCCTGCCTATGTGTTTATGATCATTTTATGGGGGCAGGACTTGGCAATCTAAAGAGCAGCAGGAGCAAAAACTCAAGACAGTGTACAGCCAATACGGGATTGTGTGGTTCAGAATATAAGCTCATCTCATAACCTTACTTTTTTCAGGTGAACTTAAGCAGATTCTAGAATGCTTAAATACGTTTTGCTGTTACCTGAAATCAATTTGTTCCAAGTCTCTTTTATAGTCTCTTTCATTCATTTTATAAACCATGCAAGCACAAATTCAAGACAATATTTACCTTTTATCTTATGAGAAGAGTTTAACAAGTTTCTTAAGGATAACTTCCATTTATGAACTTTAGAATTATTGGTAAAGTAGTCAACTATGTACTTATAATTACAACTATGTACTTATAATTAGTTTGCTTTATAAACTTAAAAATATATAGAATGAAGTTAATTTAGAAGTGCTGCTTTTTTTCTAGGCTCATATTTTCTAGAGTACAACACTTTCACTTCTGCATTAGTTGTTGGAAGAGAGATATCTTTCTGAATCTATCTATGTATGATGCTGACAATGGATACTTTATCTCAGGTCTTATGTACCTGTATAATATTAAGAAAGTGATTTTAAAATTTATCCTCAGTGTATGGTTGAAAATAAATGTAACCACTCATTATATCGCTTTTTAAGTGATCTTTAAAACTTTTGTTTACAAAAATCTCTCACTAAATTGTGTAAAATATATTATTTCCCCTTTTTAAAAACAATTCTGCCCACTGATCAGTATTACATGTTACAAATTAACATTAACTAAGGTGATATTGGGATAATGTGTTGTGGCAGAGAGTATAATGCTCAACAAATACATTTCTTTTCCTACACTTCCCAGCCCCCTTGCATTTTTTTTTACTTCGAGACAAGGTCTCACTCTGTTGCCCAGGCTGGAGTGCAGTGGCATGATCACAGCTCACTGTGACCTCGACCTCCCTGGGCTCAGGTGATCCTCCTGCCTCAACCTCCCAAGTAGTTGGGACTATAGGCACGCACCACCATGCCTGGCTAATTTGTGTCTTTTTGTAGAGACAGGGTTTCACCATGTTGCCAAGGCTGGTCTCAAACTCCTGGGCTCAAGCCATCTGCTCATCTTGGCCTCCCAAACTGTAGGGATTACAGGTGTGAGCCACCATGCCCAGTCCCCTTGCAATTAGATGAGGTTCAGTGAGGAGTTCAAATCAATAAAACTTGGGAGTCAATGATTGTGTCTCTTCCTAGCTAAGGTAGGGAAAAGTCCACATGCAAGTTTCTAGTATCATTGGCACATATTCCACTTGCTGCAACTACAAGATGGTGGAGCCTCTATTGTCTTGAATTCCTGTATGGAACTGCAGTCTGCCAACCCATGAGGGACACGTAATATGAGTAAGAAAAAGTTATATTAAGGCACAGCAACTTTGAGATTAATTTGTTATCACAGCATAAACTTACCTACCCTCACAAATTGTCTTTTCTAAACCAATAAAACAATAAAGAGAATGCCCTATAATAAAAACTGTTGTCTAGGCTTGACTATAAAGTCATTTTCCTTTTAGTAAGAAGTAGTTTGAGAATATACCTCACCTTATATTTGATGAACATACCCTGCCTTATTTCTTGATGAAGCAGATTGACTGTTTCTTTAAGGTCATGATGGGTTTCAGGACACACAAGCACAAAATATGGCACTTTGGCATTTGAAAAAATAGCAAAACCCAGGAAAGTCACTCTATGACCTTTCCCTTCCCTCTTCCCCTAAAGCAGGTCATAAAACAGTTTTCTGACCTTCCTCTCAAGTAGGCCATAAAAACCTCATGTGAGATGTGCCTACCTATATTAGTTCATTTTCACACTGCTAATAAAGGCATACCCAAGACTGGCCAATTTATGAAAGAAAGAGATTTAATTGGACTTAAAGTTCCATGTGGCTGAGGAAGCCTCACAATCATGGCAGAAGGCAGAGGAGCAAGTCACGTCTTACATGGATGGCAGCAGGCAAAGAGAGAATGAGGAAGACACAAAAGTGGAAACCCCTGATAAAATCATCAGATCTCGAGACTTATTCACTACCAGGAAAACAGTACAGAAGAAACTGCCCCCATGATTCAATTATCTCCCACTGGGTCCTTCTCACAACACGTGGAAATTATGGGAGTACAATTCAAGATGAGATTTTGGTGAGGACACAGGGCCAAACCATATCATTCCACCCCTAGCCCCTGCCAAATCTTATGTCCTCATAGTTCAAAACCAATCGTGCCTTCCCAACAGTCCCCCAAAGTCTTAACTCATTTTAGCATTAACTCAAATGTCCACAGTCCAAAGTCTCATCTGAGACAAGTCAAGTCCCTTCTGCCTATGACCCTGTAAAATCAAAAGCAAGATAGTTTATTCCTAGATACAATGGGGGTACAGGCATTAGCTAAATACCATTCCACGTGGGAGAAATTGACCAAAACAAAGGGGCTACAGGGCCCAGGCAAGTCCAAAATCCAGCATGGCAGTCAAATCTTAAAGCTCCAAAATGATCTCCTTTGACTCCATGTCTCACATCCAGGTCACGCTGATTGAAGAGGTGGGTTCCCATGGCCTTAGGCAGCTCCGCCCCTGTGGCTTTACAGGGTACAGCCTCCTTCCCAGCTGCTTTAATGGGCTGGTGTTTAGTGTCTGTGGCTTTTCCAGGTGCACAGTGCAAGCTGTTGGTGGATCTACCATTACCATTCTGGGGTCTGGAGGATGGTGTCCCTCTTCTCACAGCTCCACTAGGCGGTGCCCCAGCAGGGACTCCATTTGGGGGCTCTGGCCCCACATTTCCCTTCTGCACTGCCCTAGCTGAGGTTCTCCATGAGAGCCCCACCCCTGGAGCAAACTTACGCCTGGGCATCCAGGCATTTCCATACATCTGAAATCTAGGCAGAGGTTCCCAAACCTCAATTCTTGACTTCTGTTCACTGGCAGGCTGAACACCACCTGGAAGCTGCCAAGGTTTGGGGCTTGCACCATCTGAAGCCACAGCCTGAGCTCTACATTGGCCCCTTTCAGCCACAGCTGGAGTGGCTCAGATGCAGGGCACCAAGCCCCTAGGCTGCACACATCTCAGGGATCCTGGGCCTGGCCCACAAAACCACGGTCAGGCCTGTGATGAGAGGGGCTGCCATGAAGACCTCTGACATGCCCTAGAGACATTTTCCCCATTTCCTTGGTGATTAACATTTGGTTCCTCATTACCTATGCAAATTTCTGCAGCTGGCTTAAATTTCTCCTCAGAAAATGGGATTTTCTTTTCCATCATGTTATCAGGCTTCAACTTTTTTAAACCTTTATGCTCTGTTTCCCTTTTAAAACCGAATGCTGTTAACAGCACCCAAGTCACCTCTTGAATGTTTTGCTCCTTAGAAATTTCTTTTGCCAGATACCCTAAATCATCTCTCTCAAGTACAAAGTTCCACAAATCTCTATGGCAGGGGCAAAAATGCTGCCAGTCTCTTTGCTAAAACATAACAAGAGTCTCCTTTGCTCCCAATAAGGTCCTCATTTCCATTTGAGACCACCTCATCCTGGACCTTATTGTTCATATTACTATGAGCATTTCTGTCAAAGGCATTCAACAAGCCTCTAGGAAGTTCAAAACTTTCCCACATTTTCCTATCTTTTTCTGAGCCCTCCAAACTGTTCCAATCTCTGCCTGTTACCCAGTTCTAAAGTCACTTCCACCTTTTCGGGTATCTTTTCAGCAACAGCACCCCACTTCTGGTACTAATTTACTGTATTAGTCCATTTTCACGCTGCTGATAAAAACATACCCAAAACTGGGCAATTTATGAAAGAAAGAGATTTAATTGGACTTACAGTTCCATGTGGCTGGGGAAGCCTCACAATCATGGCAGAAGGCAAGCAGGAGCAAGTCCTGTCTTACATGGATGGCAGCAGGCAAAGAGAATGAGGAAGATGCAAAAGCGGAAACCCCTGGTAAAACCATCAGATCTCATGAGACTTATTATCTACCATGAGAACAGTATGGGGGAACCACCCCCATGATTCAATTATCTCCTACTGGGTCCCTCTCACAATACATGGGAATTATGGGAGTACAATTCAAGATAAGACTTGGGTGGGGACACAGAGCTGAATCATATCACTACCCTATACCTGAAGGAAACTAACATGCTTACCCTCAAAGACACAGAGATGCCAAGAGGAATCTGGGCAGACAGGATTTGCTAAGATCCCCCAAGTTGTCACCATTAGGTCTTATCCTCTTTGTCCAATCATACTTCCCCACAACCTTTTTATCAAACCTAGCATAAAAATATACAAGTTTACCTGTTTTTTTTCAATTTTCATTGCTAAAGGCTCCGATGTCACGTTAAACCTGTACTAAATTTGTATGCTTTTCTCTTGTTAATCTGTCTTTTGTTATGGGGCCTCAGCCATGAATCTAGTGAAGGGTGGAGAAAACACATCTCCCTCACCATGAGGAAGCTATGGAAGACAGAGCAGTGAAACAGGACAGCCCTCTGGGGTTCCCAACAACCCTGGCAGAAGGTTGTGGGGAAGGTCTCACTTGAACTGGTTCTGACTAAGTGAGCCTTGTGCTCTCTGGACTTGGTGAATATTTAAACCACATCTTTCTCACATTCATGGAATATGTTTCAGGGGAGAAAACATAATTTCCTTTTTGGGTTCTTAGTTGAGACACTTTCCTGAAAACAAGTCATATTAACAAAAGAAAAACAGAAGTTTATTAACATGTGCTGTACCCATGATGTGGGACCGGTGTCAGTCCAAAAGTATTTCTCTCTCAAGGCAGCAGCTTAGGGGCCTTGTTTAAATAATATTTTAACAAAGATCCATAAATCCTATAGAGACAAGGACAAAGAAGGAGGTATCTTTAGGCTTCTAAAAAGCAGGAAAATGTAGGAGGATAAATTTATGGAAAGAGTAAAGTCTGCTTCTAGATGCTATGGTGCCACTGTCTCTGAGCTCTGTGCCTGAGCTGATAAAGGCAGACAGGAGGGGCAGAGTGTGCCATTCTACTTTATCCTTTTAGCTTTAACTAAAATCCCCAGGATTTTAGAGAATGCTTTTTTCCTTCACTCAACTTCAATAGACTATGAAAATTCCATCTTGAGAACTCACATCACAAGCACCTCACTCCTTCTGGTCACACCATTCTAACCTTTCCATGCCCTGTGACTTCTTTGTTAGCCTCCAATAATCAGATGTCTCCTCCCTGGGTTTGCTGCTTTGGTCCCTCTGCCCTTCTGGGCAGGCCTATAGAACATGCCAAGCCAGTTCCCTCTCCTACATGGCTCACATCTCATCCACAGTACACACTCAGACATCATTTGCCCTGACAACTCTTGAGAGCAGACTGATCCCCAGGCTGCACTGATCTGGCCCTTATTTCCACATCAGAATTTCTCAGACTGGCATCCTACTGTTGCCAAACTGAACTTGGGTCAGCCTGCTTGGCAAGGCAAAGCCAAACACTGACATTGGGACTGCAGTGAAAGAAGTGAGGCATTTATTGCAGTGTGCCAAGCAAGGAGAATCAGGCACCTAATGCCTAAGACCTGAACTTCCTGATGCCTTACAGGTCAGAGTTGTTTTTTATTTTTAAGACAGAGTCTTGCTCTGTCACCCAGGCTGGAGTGCAGTGGTGCGATCACTGCCGCAACCTCCAGGGCTCAGGTGATCCTCCAATTTCAACCTCACAAGTAGCTGGGACCACATGTGTGTGCCACCACACCTGGCTAATTTTTTTATTATTTGTATAGACAGGGACTCCCTATGTTGCCTAGGCTGATCTCTAACTCCTGGGCTCAAGTGATCCTCCCACCTTAGCCTCCCAAAGTGCTAGGATTACAGGCGTGAGCCACCCTACCTCACCAGGTAAGAGTTTTTAAAGGCAGGGAGGCAGAGGTTATAGGCAAAGTCATTAATCAATACATGGAAGTTATACATTGGATTGACCTAAATAGGCAAGAAATCTCTAAGCAGGGGCCCACAGGTCATAGGTGGATTCAAAGATTTTCTGATTTGCTATTGGTTAAGGAGGCAAAGCTTTGTCTAAAAATTTAGGATCACCAGAAGACTGTGAGCTCTGGCTCATGGGTGGAAACTTCAGGCACCTCAGGAAGAAATTTAGAACAAAGAACAGTGGCCAGAGCCCAGTTCTCAGTTCCTCATCTGAGGTCTATGCACTGGCAGATCCATATGGTGGGGGTCTGGATTTCTGAAAAGTAACTCAGAGACTTATGTTAAGCCATTATTTTTAGTTTCTATAGGGAGCCAAATATATGCTAACTCTAACTTATTTGGCTATTGTTTTAAGGTACTATTACCTTCTTGCTTATGAAGTTGGTCATTTACTTCTCAGAACTAGGTAGGTGCCCAGAATTCCCTGGAAGAAATTCAAGATTTTTATTCATTTTCATGCTTGGAGTTCCCACAAGCCCCTAAGAAGGGCCCCTGCTCCATCTCTACCCCAGTGTACAGTGGTTCTTAAATACAGTGGCCTGCACGTTACCTTTCTCTGAGTGCACCTGTGGGTACCACTCTCACAGGGCTTAATGTGAAAAAAAAAAAAAAGGCATTCACAGCAACAGGTCTCTCCAAAGAAACCTCCATGCAAACCCTCCCTCTTCTATTATCTCAACTTTGAAGTGGGTAAGGAAGTCAAGGGTCATGGAGCCATTTCTTTACATTTCCCTTGAAGAATCACTCTAAGGTAATTGGGCACCACACTAAAATTTCATGTTTATCCTACCTTGGCGTTTAGTGGGATCTTCAGTTTTCACATTGTTACATAAAAGACAGGGCAAGGCCAGCTGGGTCAGCCAGGGCTTGGTGCCTGAGGGTGAGCGATCCTACACAAATAATGCTGAAGCAGAATAAGACAAAGATGCACAACCTTTGAAAGCATCCAAGCCAAAAAGTCAGAAAACACACACACTACAGCAGGCCCTAGGGCAGGAAAGGCATCATAACCGTGGGACAGAATAAAACATCAGAATCTGAGCCAAAATTAAATTGGAATAAGAAAAAGTCAGCAATGAATGAGATTTGGGACAATTTCAGCCCACATTATTGGGGATTCCAGTGCTTAATAAGATGAAAAACAGATACAAGAATATTTTTATTTAATTAATTTCCTACAGCAAGTTGGTTCTCTGGTTAAGGAAGATACAACCAAATTCCCTGGAAATTGCAAAGAGTCCCTAGAGATTTCTGTAAGACAGACAAGATATAGATTCCCAACACTGCCCATTCCCCCAAAACAGGAAAGCAGCATTCCCAAACCCAGAAGCTGTTGGCCTTATAAGCTCAAGTTTCATGATAGTCGACCTACTTGGAAACAGTAAGTTTTCATCCTCATAACCACTCCTCTCCCATTGCCATGGCAATATTGGCTGTCTCTGCTCATCAGCCATACCAAAGTACAGCACTTGAATGCTCATTCTCAGCAATAACTGCACTAATGAGAGCTTAGTCCACGGTGTTTTATTAACAATTTTCTAACAGTGTTTGGGAAATAGAAATTGTCTGCTGCTCCCACACCCAGCCTGCAACTGCATGTCCAGTGGGCCTGACTGAACTCTGTACCACTAGACAGATGTTAGCAAGGAAAATAAGGTTGTATAAAATATCTTTTGGTACCAATGGCCACTATGGTTTTACTGTATTTAATGCAAGTCAAAGCTGGTGACTTCTACCTACCTATCCACCTATCTTCCTATCTACCTTTCTTCCTATTTACCTACCTACCTATATTAGTTTGCTAAGCTGCCATTACAAATCACAAACTGGGTGGCTTAGAACAACAGAAATTTGTTTTCTCACAATTCTGGAGACTAGAAGCCTGAAACCCAGTGTTAGCAGCGTTGGTTCCCTCTAAGGGGCATGTTATAATTTGAATATGTCAGGTGTTGAAACTTAATGGCCAATATAATAGCAGTAAGAAGTGCAGCCTTTAAGAGGTGATTAGGTTATGAGGGCTCCTCCCTCATGAATGGGATTAAGACACTTAGAAAAGAGGTGTCAAGTGGTGTTCTGCCCTTTGGACCTACCTTCCTCTATTTGAGGACACAGTGTTCCTCCTCTCAGGAGGATACAGCAAGATGGCACCACCTTGCAAACAGAGACCATGCACCTCACCAGACAGTTTGCTGGCACCTGGATCTTGGGCTTCCCAGCCTCCAGAACTATGAGAAATAAATTTCTGTTCATTATAAATTACCCAGTCTACAGCATTTTGTTATAGCTGTACAGATGAGCTAAGATAGGCTATGAAAGAGAATTTGTTCCTTACCTCTCTCCAGGCTTCTGGTGCTTTGCTGGCAATATTTGTTGTTCTTTGGTTTGTGGATGCATCAGCTCAATCACTGACTTCACCTTCATATAGCATTCTTGCTGTGAGTGAAATGGTAAATGGCAGCTGAAACTTCAGTGAGACGAGGAAATGGAGGATGAGAGGGCAATGACAGAGACTTTCATTCTAACAGCTATGAAGAGATCAGAGATGAGCCTGGGTCCTGAGCCAGGCAAGGGAGGGGAACAGACTCTACACATAGTTGGGATTCCCCAAAGGAACCCACTCTTGGGAAAAGAGTGGATTAGGAAAAACACTCTCCCACCATCTAAACAACAGGACAAACATATTTGTTGAAGTAACAGATAGAACTTTGGGAACTGAATACCACAATGCGTGGGTAAAGCAGCAGATTAGAAATCTGAAGAGAAAATGAGACAAGCAGAAGATAGATTTGAGAAAAATGATCAAGGATGAAGCGGGAACAGACAGAGAGATGCAAGCCATGAAAGTGACATTAAGCAGAATAGAGGACAAAATGAGGTGCTCCAATGCATGCCTGATAAGAGAAGGGGAAGGAGAGAATGGAGGAAATGAAAGAGGCAATACTGAAAGAGATCATAGCTGTGACATTTTCACAATTGGTGAAAGACAAAACCTTGGTTTTAGAAATTGCAATGGGTTTCAAGCAGAATTGACACAGCCAAAACTGAACCCTCAGGGTGAAACTGCAAAGAAACCAAAGACAAAAAGTGAAAAGGCTAGAATAAAGCTATCAATTAGTTATGAAGTGACACTAATCAGACTGATAGCAGACAATACTAACAGCAGAAGAAAATAACTCAATAACATCTTTGAAGTGCTAAGGGAAAAGAACTGCCATTAGAAAATTTTAAATGTGGCCAAACTATCATTAAAGAATAGGGTAATATAAAGACATTTTCAGACAAAACTGAAGGAGAAAATTTCTCAATGTTCTTTCTTACTGACAATATATAGAACTATATTGCAGCTTAGTGAAATCAATACAATTTTATGCTCTAAACCTGTAGCTTAAAAAAAAAAACAAAAAAAGTTTCTATAATTCTCTCCATTTATGCACAGCATCACTATTTATTAGAAGCCAATAAGGTACCACCGAATACTTTTTGACGATAGAGATGATGATTCCTACACGGAACAGCGTCTCTGGTGGAAATCATCTCTGTGCTACATTGTGTGGAACAGACAGGACCCTAAGTGCAGAATCAGGAAACCTGAATTCAAGCTCTAACTCTACCACTAATTACCTCTGCAACTTTGAATGATTTATTCTGGTTCCTTGTATATTAAAATAGGTGGGTGATTGGTTGATTTTTACAACTCCAATCTCCATCACTCTTCAACTCACCCTGTACCCTCCTGACAATGGTGAATTGGGATCCACCCAGGGTCCACACACAAAATTATTTCACAGAATTCAGTCCAGAGAGCTTGAATAGTCTCACCTTTCAAGGCGAAAATCTCAAACCTAAAATCTATGCTCAAGAAATGTAGATTGGTAGGCCAAAAACGGTTTAGATCAACTTTTCATTAAAAAAAAAAATCTTAAAAGTTCAATACTCCAATTCAATTCTCTCCCACCCTCTATTCCACACGCACCAAAGAGTCACAGTTTTTTGGGTTTTGCCATGTATTTCAGCCTATGGGACTAACCAAGACTCTTATCAGTCTGGAATTTCTATCATTCTAACACCACCCCCACAGCTTTAGCTCCTCCTCCTAAATACCTTAGCACTTTCTTTGTGGTTTAAGTTACTGCTCTCCTACTTCCAACAGAGGGTGAAAAAATGATTGCTCATCTTGCTTTCAATGACCACAAGAAATATTAAATTCTTCTGGCCCAAAAGAACATTTCCCACAAGCATCATTTTAAATCTTAATTACAGGTTTATGTATTATTCAGGCAATGTTAGAAACTCAGCTTTGGAATAGCATTATACCATTAGTCTTCATTTGCTCTCTTTGGTCTTTCCCCCAACTTCCAAATAATGGCCATTCTAATTCTCTTGCTTCTTTAATTATATTTTAGTTAGAATCATCTTTTTCTTAGAGCACGAGACTTTCTCTTGCAAAATGCCTATGACTTCAAAAAAGGATTTGATTCTCCTCTGGTCCCCTTGCTGACAAGGTTTAGGGATGCAAGCAGGCTATTATCTATCACCAAAAAATCCAGCAGAAGGGATAGAAAAGGATCACTAGGTTAATATAAAGATAATTCTCTTCTTCTTGTAATGTATACACACACAGGTGCACACACACAGGAATGCACTTGTCCAAAGATTAAAATAAAGCCAGATAATTCTTCACCAGTTGTTCAGTGATGCTATTGGCATTATCAAAAACCTAAGATCTGAATTAGAGTAGCTAATACTTTTCAAGTGCTCTCTGTGTACAGGTTACCTGACTGCATACCCATATCCTCTAGTTCTTCTCTATGTACTGCTTCACTGATTCCCTGCTATGTTTCTAAAGTGCTCTGGGACCTCCATCCTCCACGTGCTATCAGATCTTTGTAGATAAGGTCCTTTTCATCTTTCTATATATGGAAAAGTGTAATGAATAAATTTCCCATCCCCTGCCCCCTCTTAGAAAGAGCCATAAAATTAAAAGAAATCAATTTGAAATTGATACTACTCCTCACAGGACACAAAAAGGTCAACCTAATACCATGATTTCTGTTTTGTTTTGCTTTCTTTAGTTTAGTTTTGTTTTCAGTGATGCTCAGTCTTCAGCAAAACAGAAAAGAGTCAGATACTCCTTCACACAATTATGATTATCTATTGTTCCTAAGGGCTAGGCCAGGAACATGATAACAAAAGAAATACTTTTTTCTTTTGTAGGTTTTGTTTGTTTGTTTTTGTTTTTTTGAGATGGAGTCTCACCCTGTCGCCCAGGCTGGAGTGCAGTGGCGAGATCTTGGCTCACTGCAACCTCTGCCTCCCGGATTCAAGCGATTCCCCTGCCTCAGCCTCCTGAGTAGCTGGGACTACAGGCATGTACCACCACGCGCAGCTAATTTTTGTATTTTTAGCAGAGATGGGGTTTCACCATGTTGGCCAGGATGATCTCGATCTCTTGACGTCCTGAACCGCCCGCCTTGGCCTCCCAAAGTGCTGGGATTACAAGCGTGAGCCACCATGCCTGGCCTGTAGTTTGTTTTTAAAGATAAAACTTGTTTGCTATAAACTATATATTCTTAACTGCACAGCTAAATTTTTACTTCTGTATGTAACCTATGTAACTACCACACAGACCAAGATACAGAACATTTTCATCACTCCAGAAAGTTCCCTCATGCCTCCTCACTCACTCACCTCAATGATAATCACTACTCTGACTTTTATCATCTTTGACGATATTTGCCTGTCTTTCACTTTATGTATGTGGAATCACATAGTATATACACTTTTGTGTCTGGTTTCTCTTTTCCAACAGAATGCTTTTGAGATTTATCCATACTATTGTAAATATCAGTTCTTTCTTTTTTTATTGCTGAGTAGTGTTCCATTTTATGAATACACTACAATTTGCTTTTGTAGTCCTCTGTTGTTGGATATTTGTAGCATTTCTAGTTTTTGGCTATTATGACTAAAGCTGCAAAGAACGGTCTTTCATGTGCCTTTTGGTTGATATATGAACTCATTTCTCTTGGATATACACCTAAAAGTAGAACTGAGAACTGCTGGGTCATAAGATAGAAGAAGACAGAAGTTCATTTAGATTTAATAAATACCAGTAAACAGTTTTTCTAAGTGGCTGAACCACTTTGTCTGGAAAGTGTTTATACTTCTATCTGCAATGTATGTGAGCTCCAGCTGCTCTACAATCTCACCTACACTTCATGTTGAATCTTTTCATTTTAGCCAATCTACTCTGTTTATACTTTTCCCTCATTGTGGGTTTAATTTGGGTTATATGATTTATAGGTGTTTAATTTTTACGTAACTATATATACTGGATATGACTCCTTTGTCAAGTATATGTATTACAAATATGTTCCCCCAATCTGTGGCTTGCTCACTGAACTCGCTTCCTTAACTATGTCTTTTGATGAACAGAAGTTCTTAATTTTAAGAAAGCCCAATTTATCTTTTTCCTTTTTCTTTTATGGCTTAATGTTTTTTGTGTCTTGTTTAAGAAATCTTGCCTACTCCATGATCATTTTCCTTTGTTACATTCTAGAAGCTTTATTGTTCTGCCTTTCACATTCAGGTCTATGATCCACTTTGAATTAATTTTTATGTGTGGTATAAGGTCAAGTTCAAGATTCATTTCTTTTTTCCCTGAATAGATACCAATTTCTCCAGCACCATTTATTTAATAATGATCTTTTTCCACTGAATGACAATGGCACCTTTATTGCAAATCAAGAAACCATATATGTGCACATCTATTTGTGGACTTTATCTGCTCCATTGGTTTATTTGTCCATCCTTACACCAAAATAGTATTTCCATGAGGTGGGATTAGCTTGTGTGTCTCTGATGAGTACAAATATTCATCTTTGCACAAATGCCCACTTCCCTTCTGAACCTCACTGACTTTCACTGTGCAGAATATTCACTGTTATCTCTTACCTCCAAACGCTCTCTTCCTTACTCAGCTTGGTGATACAGAGGTTTAGACTCTGCAAACATTTCTCCTTTGCCAGTGGTTCCCTGTTAGGTTCTGCCAATAGGGTTCACTAGAGGGAGACTGTGACGCTGGAGCAGGGACAAAGGACTTTCTTCTTCCTGTGTGTTCATTGCTCCTATCAGCATGGCCCCAGCAATGGTTTTGTGAAACAACAGTGGCAGCTGGGTTTAGCTGTAGCACCACTATAGCTTCAGCTTTGTTTCCACACTCCCAGAGATGCACTTCCTCAGAGACATGACCACCAACCAGGCAGCAGTTCTGCAGGGCCCCAAACACCAACCTTAAGGGTTCTATTAACCCCACCCTCTCTTCCTTTTCATCCCTGGCCCTGGCGTGGCAGCTGTTCATAGCACTTCCTATCACTGTGCTAGCTCAGTTATCCCTGGTTGCTTTTCAATCCTCCAATACCAATTCCCCATATTTCTTTTTTTCTGTTAGGCTATTTGGTGTCATGCTGTTTTTCTAAGTGGACTCTGACTCATTCACTCACTAACAGAAGAGATGACATAGAATTGTGTACAATTGGAGAGCATGATCACTCTCCCTCCTGGAACAAGAGCCTATAACCCTCTGGATTCTGCACAACTCTTCAGAGATGAACAATCATGCTCATCCTATGTTCCTTCTTTTAAACACAATGCCAGAAAACATCAAGGCATTGTCAACAAAGAGTCAAACTCTGTAAAATATTTGAAGAGATTTATTCTAAGCCAAATATGAGTGACCGTGACCTGAGGCACAGTCTCAAGAGGTCCAAAGAATATGTGCCCAAAGTGGTCAGCCTGGTTTTATATGTTTTAGGAAGACATAAGACATCAATCAATAGATGTAAGGCATACATTGGTTTGGTCTGGAAAGGCAGGACAACTTGAGAAGCAGGAGCTTCCTGGTCATAGGTGAATTCAAAGATTTTCTGATTAGCAATTGGCTGAAGAGTTAAGCTAATATCTAAAGACCTAGAATCAAGAGAAGGCAGTGTGGGTTAAGATAAGAGGTTCTAGAGACCAAGGTTCTTATCATGCAGATGAAGCCTCCAGGTAGCAGGCTTCAGAGAGAATAGATTGTAAATGTTCCTTATCAGACTTAAAAAGGTGCCAAGCTCTTAGTCAGTTCTCTCCTGGATCAGGGAAAAGACCTAGAAAGGGAAAGGGATTCTCTACACAATGTAGATTTTTCCCCACAAGAGACAGCTTTGCAGGACCATTTCAAAATATGTCAAAGAAATGTATTTTGGGGTAAAATACTTTTATTTCTTTCAGGGCCTGCTATATGTCATGCTGGTATCTTATTGCTACAAATAGTCTGTTTTGTCAGTCTTAAGGTCTCTGTTTTAATGCTAATGCTGGTCAGCGGTGCCTGAATTCCAAAGTGAGGAAGGTATAATAAGACATATCCAACCATGCATTCCCATAATGGCCTGACCTAGTTTTTTTCAGGTTAACTTTGGAATGCCCTTGGCTGAGAGAAGGGGTCCATTCAGTTTATCAGGGGGCTTAGAATGTGATTTTTGTTTTACAACATAAAAGCTTCTTTGGAAAAGGATAGAGTTTCCTGAGGGATAGAGAAGTTGCTAAGCTGAGAAATAAGTGTGTTTCAGGGAGGTGGGGACACTTGCAAGAGAAGCTAGTCATCATGAAGGAAACATGCAAGGGAACACGAAGCATATGAAAGCCCAATGCCTGAAAACATTCTCCCTTGTGCAATAAAAGGAACATCTAAACTCATTAACTTTCAACCATTGTCCCTCCTACCATGCAATACCCTTTTGGGAATCTCTAACCTTTCAGAAAAGTACTTCATAAATATAGACTTTGCTCTGTGTATAATGGTAGAACTGGGGGAGAGATGGGTCTACTCTGCCCCATTTTCCTTCCTTTGAAAAACCTTATGAGCAACCACTTAATAGTAAATATTCTCTTGTCATGGTAGTACATCCTTTGCCAGAAAAGTTGGCTACAGCACTTGCCCTCAGCCTGAACTCTGAAAACTCTATCCTCAATCTAAACAAAGGGAAAGATATGCCTGATTGGGTGTTTTTTATAAGCATGACAGCCTGACCCCACTCTTCCCAGGAGTGAAACACACTCAAGTACACATCTGTCCGACGCCCTGCCTGTAAAGTCATCCTCACTTAGCAATCATAGGGAACTTTCCACACACACCAAAGGGAGGTCTACCTATGAAACGGGACCTACCCACTACCCTAAATCCACTACCACAGAGTCCATACAAAGGATAGGTATTTGGGGTGAACATACCCGCATTGGTTCCCTATTGTAATCAGCAAATCTTTCCTTCACAAAAATAAATGTAAAACTAAGAATAAACAGTCATTTGAAGAATTTTAACCTGGGAAAGATACAACCAACTGAACAAAACTACTGAAGAGGCCAGACACAGTGTGGCTCATGCCTGTAATCCCAACACTTTGGGAGGCTGAGGCGGGAGGATCACTTGATGTCAGGAGTTCAAGACCAGCCTGGCCAACATGGTGAAACTTCACCTCTACTGAAAATACAAAAATTAGCCAGGCATGGTGGCACATGCTTGTAATCCCGTCTACTCAGGAGGCTGAGGCAGAAGAATTGCTAGAACTCAGGAGGCAGAGGCTGCAGTGAGCCGAGATCATGCCACTGCCCTCCAGCCTGGGGACAGAGACTCCATCTCAAAAAAAAAAAAAAAAAACCACAAACAAACAAAAAAAACTACCAAAGAAGAATTTTACAAGAGGGCTTAAAAGAGGAACTAAATAAACAGAGATAAATTATGTTAACAAAAGGAAGATTTAATATTGCAACCTTTTAATTTTCTCTTCAGTAATATAATAAGACCAGTAAAATCAGAAAAAAACCCAAAATTTTTCATGGAACACAAAAAATGGATACTAAAATTCTTAGAAGAGTAATGTGCAAGCATACCCTTATCAATTTTGGAAAAGACCAAACGATAACTTTCCTGCCAAATATAAAAATGTAACATAAAGATTTTATAATTAAAACAGTATGGTATTTGTCAGAAATGGGTGAATAAACAAATGGAAAAGAGAGCGTATGTGGGAATTTAGTACACGATAAGGTAACATTTTGAATGGAAAGGACAAACTTACATAAAACTATGGGACCATGGGATAACCACTTGAGAAAAAGCTAAGCTGATTTTACATAGCCATTTGTAGCATAAATTCCGTAGGGATTAGAGATTTAAATGTAAAGAATAAAAACATAAAAGTCTAGGATAAAATGACCAAATATTTTAATCCTCTCAGGTTATGAGTGTGGCAGAGAAATAATTAAGCAATGACGTGAATTTGACCACATAAAAATTAAAATTATGTAAAAACAAATTCTATAAATAAAAATAATAGACAAAAAACCTGAAGATTCATCAGTAGGTGATTCATTCATTCAATAACTATAGTATATTTATAAAGTTCTGTGCAGCTGTTTTTAAAAGAATGATGTAGTTCTACATCAGTGGTTTTCAACTGGGGGCAATTTTGCCCCTCCTTCCTGGAGCCATAGAGCAATAACTGGAGATGCTTTGGGGTGTCACAACTGAGGAGAGAATGTGCTACTGGCATCTAGTGAGTAGAGGCAAGGAATGCTGATAAACACCCTACAATACAGGACAGCCCCCACAACAAAGATTGTTGGGTCCAATGTCAATAGCTCCAAGTTTAAAAAAACTTGCTCTCCATAAGCTAACAAAGAAAGATGTCCCTGACATACAAAGTAGTGGGAAAAACACAAATTGCAGGTCGGGCACAGTGGCTCATGCCTGTAATCCCAGCACTTTGGGAGGCCGAGGTGGGCGGATCACGAGGTCAGGAGATCGAGACCATCCTGGCTAACATGGTGAAACCCCATCTCTAATAAAAATACAAAAAATTAGCCGGGTGTGGTGGCAGGCGCCTGTAGTCCCAGCTACTCGGGAGGCTGAGGCAGGAGAATGGCGTGAACCTGGGAGGCGGAGCTTGCAGTGAGCCGAGATCACGCCACTGCACTCCAGCCTGGGCAACAAAGTGAGGAAAAAAAAAAAAAAAAAAAAAAAAAGGACCAAATTGCAGAACAATATGTATATTATTGAGAGGTGACAGCATGCTGGCAGCCCTCAGAGCCCTCGCTTGCTCTCGGCACCTCCCCTGCCTGGGCTCCCACTTTGGTGGTATTTGAAGAGCCCTTCAGCCCCCCACTGCACTGTGGGAGCCCCTTTCTGGGCTGGCCAAGGCTGGAGCCCACTCCCTCAGCTTGCAGGGAGGTGTAGAGGGAGAGGCACCAGCGGGAACGGGGGCCGCGCACGGCACTTGCGGGCCAGCTGGAGTTCCGGGTGGGCGTGGGCTTGGTGGGCCCGCACTTGGAGCAGCCAGCCAGCGCTGCTGGCCCCGGGCAATGAGGGACTTAGCACCCTGGCCAGTGGCTGCGGAGGGTGTACTGAGTCCCCCAGCAGTGCTGGCACAGCGGTGCTGTGCTCGATTTCTCGCTGGGCCTTAGCTGCCTTCCTGCGGGGCAGGGCGGGGGACCTGCAGCCCGCCATGCCTGAGCCTCCCACCCACTCCATGGGCTCCTGTGCGGCCCGAGCCTCCCCGACGAGCACCACCCCCTGCTCCAAGGCGCCCAGTCCTATCGACCACCCAAGGGCTGAGGAATGTGAGCGCACGGCACAGGACTGGCAGGCAGCTCCACCTGCAGCCCCGGTGCAGGATCCACTAGGTGAAGGCAGCTGGGCTCCTGAGTCTGGTGGGGACGTGGAGAGTCTTTATATCTAGCTCAGAGATTGTAAATACACCAATCAGCACCCTGTGTTTAGCTCAAGGTTTGTGAGTGCACCAATCGACACTCTGTATCTAGCTGCTCTGGTGGGGCCTTGGAGAACCTGTGTGTGGAAACGCTGTATCTAACTAATCTGATGGGAAGGTGGAGAACCTTTGTATCTAGCTCAGGGATTGTAAACACACCAATCAGCGCCCTGACAAAACAGGCCACTGGGCTCTACCAATCAGCAGGATGCGGGTGGGGCCAGATAAGAGAATAAAAGCAGGCTGCCCCAGCCAGCATTGGCAACCCGCTCAGGTCCCCTTCCACACTGTGGAAGGTTTGTTCTTTCACTCTTTGCAATAAATCTTGCTACTGCTCACTCTTTGGGTCCACGCTGCTTTTATGAGCTGTAACACTCACAGCGAAGATCTGCAGCTTCACTCCTGAGCCCAGCGAGACCACGAGCCCACCAGGAGGAAAGAACAACTCCAGACGCGCTGCCTTAAGAGCTGTAACACTCACCGCGAAGGTCTGCAGCTTCACTCCTGAGCCAGCGAGACCACGAACCCACCAGAAGGAAGAAACTCCGAACACATCCGAACATCAGAAGGGACAGACTCCAGACGCACCAACTTAAGAGCTGTAACACTCACCGCGAGGGTCCACGGCTTCATTCTTGAAGTCAGTGAGACCAAGAACCCACCAATTCCGGACACATTATGATCTTAATATAAGTAAATATTCCATAATATCAGCAGTAACGATGATTGATGCATTGAGTATTAAACTCAAAAGAAAATCTAATAGAATATTTAAAACAACTGGTAAAAGAAATACACTCCATGTCTAGGCCTGACCTACTCTATGACTCTAACGTTGTTCTCTCTTGCCTGTCTCTCAGTCAGATGCGGAGGGTAAATTTGAAAATTTTCCCTGAATTGAAGAATTTTCTAGGAAAACAGAAGTTATCAAAATTGCCTCAAGAAGATATATCAATAACAATACAGAAAAGTTAAAAAGATGTCCTAAAATTATCTCCACAAATAACATCAATTGAGTCCATTTTATAGAATAAGCTCTCTACTCTTTCAGAGTAGTTAATGCTCTTGCCATCTAAGTTATTCCAGATCATGCAAAAAGTGAAAAACTCCTCAATGAATCACACAAAAGTAGTGAATTCCTGATACAAAATCTGACAAAATAGTATGAAAAAAGTATGCTTATGTCAGTCTCTCCTATAAATATGTATTCAATAATTTTAAAAAAAGTTAGCATAATTATGAGTTAATAATTCAAAATATTTATGAAGTCCAAATAAAAATATACCAAGTCAAATCCAGGACAATGCTTTTTAAAAATGGCCAAATCAGTTTTATTTCAAGAATGTAAGAGTGATTTAATATGAGAAGATATATTAACATAATTCAGTACATACTGGAACTTTAAAAAGAAAATCTTTAAGTGCTTCTAAATAGGTACACAAAAAGCACTTGATAAATCTTAGCATTCAGTCTTCATTTTTTTAAATTTAAAACCTCTTAGTAAACTAGACCAGGAAGGATATTTCAAGCACCTAGAAGAATGCTATAAGGTTGGAAAGATTCAAGAAATAGTTATCAAATGACTGCATAAACAGTAATTCTTTCATTTGATAAGGAGTATTTACCTTAAACCAAAAGCAGTATTTTTTCACTTAATAGTTTAACTTCAAAAGCATTTTCTTATCAGAGATTAGAAAAAATTGCTCACTCTACAGTTACTTACCTCTGAAATAAGATAACAACAAAAAACGGAAGGCACAAATACCTATTTAAAAAGAGAGGACAAATGATTATTATTGAGTGGTCTGGTGGTCTCCCTGGAGATTCCTTATCCTTTGATCATCTCCTCTATCTTCCTTGTCTCAGTGCCTGTTCCCCCACCCCACCACAACCACCAAATACCCACACAAAGATAAGCCATCACAGGACAGAAAGAAAATCATTCAAGCCCATCAATATGTAAAAGCCAAATCTTTAACATCATTTCCATGTGTTGTCTCTTATCCTTGGCTTTCTATCAGTGTCCCCAAAGTGGCCGCGGTTCCTCTGGGATGGCAGACTGTCTTCCTATCTCACTTCAGTCACTTCTCTTTGGTATTAAACAATCTGACACTCGGATTATTTCTGCTGTTTTAAATTAAAGATTCAAAAAGCGTGGTATTCAGTCAGCCCATAGTAGGTGAGGGTCTTCCTTACAGACTGCAAACTGATTGAAAAATGCAAGTTCTTTATCTTTAAAGAAGATTCATCTACAATTCCAGATACTTTCAGTTTTATACCACAAACTCTAACAAAGAACAAACACTTTTAAAAATCCATGGTCCATGACTTTTTATGCCACTTTCATTATTTTGTTCTTTGCCAGTTTTCTATTATTGATGCGTCCATTTTCCACTGGAAGGTTGTAACAGTGGTGTACAGTTTTAAAAAAGTTTGAAAACTGATACTTTAAGCAATGTATGTCTTTCATATCCCATAATAACCAAGGATATAACCTGAAGCACTAGGCAATTGAGGTGAACATTTTAAAAAACAGGATAGTATTGAATATATTAAAAAGGTTTAAGGGTTGATAATAGAGCAAGTGAATTCAGACTATACTAATCTATTCTTTTCAAGATTTTAATGTATTTTGTTATTAGTCTCTTTAATAATATTTTATTAGCTTTCTAAACATTTCAAATACACTGTACAAAAAAGCAAAAATATTTGGAAGCCTAATAACCGTTTTGAAGCACGAATCTATCTTAAATGTGGCTTTCTTTTGAAAAACAATAAAGCTGACCAATGCCATCAGGAATTCAATTAGATTATTTCACAGGTAATGGTTTCTTATTTTAGTGGTGCAATCATCCTTAAAATGGAGTCCTCTCGGAGTTTACTGAGCCATTTTTAATTGTTTTCTCTTAAAGTCAAACTGAAGGCTGTTACAAGAAGGACTGATATATCTCTCTAGACATGTTTAAGTGGTTTAGACCAATACGTCACACCTGCAGCTAAAAGACTTTTTTCAGTCTGAAATCACCTTTGCAAAAATTGTGGCAGGGAGAGAAATACAACATAAAAAATTATGATGGTGAAAGAAATCTGCCCTAACTGAATCCATCTTACTTCTAACCTCCAAGCTATCCCTGTTCATTTCTGTGCATAGGCCAAGTTAACTATGAAAGGAGTTTAGTTTAACTTTAAAACAAAGATGATAACAGCCACTTCCTGAAACTATCTCCTTGCTTAGGGACAAAAACTGCCTTTGGAAAACTAACAGATGAGCCACAGTGTAGAATTATGGCTCAGGAGTCATGCAGCCAAAGGCTACAAGATTCCTAACCTCCCCAGTAGGTCCTATAGATAACATCCCTATGGTAAAACCTAAGGTTGGTGATTGAGGTATTTTTCAGCCCCTGAATTCTGATAGACCAGCTAAACTCACCTAACTGGTTTTGTGATCCTACTCAGGAAATGAAGACAACAAAAAGACAGTTACAACCCCCTATGATTTCATCCCTGACCCAACCAATCAGTATTCCCCATTCCCTAGCCACACCCGTCCACCAAATTATCCTTAAAAAGCTCTAGTCTCTGAATATTCAGGAAGCTGATTTGAGTAATAATAAACTCCTGTCTTCACACTTGGCCAGTCCTGTGATTATTAAACTCTTTCTCTATTGCAAAAACCTGCTGTTCCCAGTGCCTTGGTTTTTCTGGGCAGTAGGCAAGATGAACCCATTGAGTGATGACAAGTCTTACTCATTTAAAATCAGGACTTGACAGCTCTGAAGGTTCTGCAATTAAATATATCAATACATACCTACAAATACATAGGTACACACATTATACAAATATGAATATTCTAGAATATACTCTGGCATATAATGATAATAACATTTCATATTATTATGCGCAATTTCTTTGGCAAAGCTAAAAATGTATCTTTCTTGTAATGGCAGTATACATTATAATACCTTAATGTGATTAATTGAATTTAGTCATTGGGAAGCTCAACTCAGATTATTTCTGTTGTTTTAAACTAGACTCCTTCAATGCTTGGAAATATATACATATGCAATACATACATACATAACAGTACTGTCAAAAAAAAGCAAAATTACAACAATACATAACAGTACTGTCAAAAAAAAACAAAATGACAACAAATTTAGTTAAAGATCTAATTGGTGCTTTTTTACAACTCATGAACCAGAGCAGCCTCCATTCTACACAACAGAATGAGAGCTATCTGTGAGCAAAAGCAGAGCGTAGGTTTTATAAAGTAGGAACAAGGAAACAGAACAATAGTCTGACTGGTTAACATCAGGTTAAAACAGGTTACTTTTTTGTGAGAGTTAAAGCAGAAAAGACTTCCTTATTGTGTTGACTCAGGTAGAATGGAATCTCCTGTTATGAAGGAAAAAAAATGAGTCTGTTTGGGGATCTATTTCCTTCCTTAAAGTTTCAGTTTGACTATGTGGCATTTAGCATGAATGACTCCACTTTGATTTGTCCGGTCTGTTGGGGCCTTAGTGCAGGAGCTCATTCCAAAACAATGGCCTCCCATAATTATATTTAACAGTACAAACATACTTAACAAAACTCAACTATGCAAAGTTGAAATGGGAGGATTCAGCTGGGATGCAGTGGTGGGATGGACACTAGCCTGGAAGCCTAGAAACCAAGGTCTGAATTCCAACCTGTCAAGCTATGGGTAAGATGCTTAATCCCTGTAAGCCTTTTTGGCAGAGTTGGTTTCCCCAGCCACATTGTCCTCCAGGTCCCAGCTTCTCCAGGTCCCAGGTAGCTGAACCACAGGGTGACAGGTCTGCCATAGACCCACTCACCAAAGCACTGCACAAGGGCCTCACTCTTGGTCTGCTTCAACACCAAAGAACTATGAACTGTTGCCACTGTCTTCCTGTCTCTTCTGGTACCCACATACAGGCTGCATCCTTATCCCTGAAGGCCTTCAAAGTACACAAAAATATAACATTTTGCCACTCAAATCCCCTGTCAAACATCCCACATTCTGCCTTCTTCAGGATAAATACTCTGAATTCCTTCAAACATTTCTCATATTTAGGGTGACTATACAGCCTTGTTGTCCTGGAATAGTCCTGGTTATCCTTGTTTTCCCAGTATAATAATTAGTAGCACCTTGTCACAGTGAAAAGTTCAAAAAGTTAAAATATGACATTCGTACACATGTAGACTGAATGCATGCCAAATATTTTATTCAACTTAATCTAATGGAGGAACAAATAAGAAAATAGAACTGGATTTTTATAGGTATTTTGAGAGAAAAGAATGCTAGACTAAGTTTGCTAGTTTAGATATAAACTGATTAATCCTCTAAGGGGAATGAACAATAATCTTTGGTGTTATCTTTTCTGCTAGATGGAAATCTATAAAATAGATTTCACAGTGTCTGAGTTCTAAACAAATAGTGAAGAGCAAAGTCAAACAAAGGCACATCCTTCTAGGAAATCAAATAATCTTTAGGCAGTCCTGATAAATAATGCCGCAATAGGATGAAAGACATATGACCATTCTCTTATTTTCAAGTTTTAGATAATTTTTCTAACAGTCCCCTTTTACTCTCAAATGTATCCTAGTTTGGACCACAAATTATATGGCCAGCAACCTTGTAGCATATAATTTACACATTCTTCACCTCTCTGGCCATAATGCTCTTCACATAATATGTTTATCCATGTTTATCTCTTAGGATGTGGCATCCAGAATTTTTAAAAGAATTCTCCATATGTGCCTGGAGCAGTGCAGGCTACAGGAGAGTTATGACCTCCTATAATTTTGACAATATGCTTGGGGTAGACAGAGGTCATATGACCCATAAAACCTACAATATCTCCTATCTAATGCTTTATAGAAACAGTTTGCTGACCCATGATTTAGGCCCCGGTTTCCATTCCTTCAAAGCCCGTATTGAAAGTCATCTCCTGGTACAATCTTCAAAATACCATTCCCTTGCTAAGCAGAGTTAATGGCTTTGTCCCCAGTACATCCACAGCTCTGTGAAATACATACAGACCCTCTACGAAAACACTTTGTATCATAGTTATTGATAGGAATCTCTCTCTCTTCCTAATGGAGACTACTTATCTCCAGGTGTAGGGCCATGTCACCTCTTAAATGCCCAAGACCTAGGTTACCTAGTACAGTGTCTGGATCTAGAACCAGTTAATATCATTTGGAACTTTGTTCCCTTCAAATCTCCTGTTGAAATATGATTCCCAAAGTTGTAGGTAGGGCGTGGTAGGAGGTAACCGGGTCATGGGGGTGGGTCCCTCATGAACAGTTTAGCACCATCCCCTTGGTGATAAGTGAGTTCTCGGTTAGTGAGTTCACGTGAGATCTTGTTGCTTAAAAAAGTTTAGGACCTCCCCTTCTCCCTCTCTTGCTCCTTATCTCACCATGTGACATGCCTGCTCCCCCTTCACCTTCCACCACAGTAAAAACTCCCTGAGGCCTCCCCAGAAGCCACTGTGCTTCCTGTACAGCCTGCAGGACCATAAGCCAATTAAACTTCTTTTCTTTATAAACAGCCTTACGTATTTGTTATAAAGATGCAAGAATATTCTAATACATCAATAGTCACAATTTCTTATTTATTTTTTATTACTGAACAACTGTTGTCCAGTGAGCATAGTTATAGTGAGCACTTATATTTGTTCTTTGATATAACTTTCACAGTAGCCCACATTAAAAGACTGAAGCCCAGCCAGGCGTGGTGGCTCACGTCTGTAATCCCAACACTTTGGGAGGCCAAGGCAGGCGGATCACCTGA